>NC_000008.11:35011617-35314648 GCF_000001405.40 Homo sapiens | reverse complement strand
ATGTCTTTAAATAAACGTCTGTTATGCCAAGACTACTTCACTATTGTAAGATTTTTTAAATAAATTAGATGATTTTACATATATTCCTATTACATTTTATTCAGTTGTTTCAACCACTATTCCTACTAATTGCTTTTCTTTTTAAAATAGAGCTGTTGTCAACATTAGCTTTCTCTCTAAAATGTGTCTCTTACATGATATGGATGTTTTCTAGGTCTTCATGCAGAAACCAACGATACAAAAATTGAATGGAAGTAGGCAAAATAATTGTACTTTCATAGGGTATGAAAGACCCCCTATACTTGAGAATACAGTGTTTTTTGTGGTCTACCCAAGAAACAGTAACTCCACTTGATCAAACTCATGTTCGTTTCGATCGAAATATGTAAGGAAAGAACCCATATACTCAGATAAAGCATCTCTTATACCAACAATCCAGTAACACTTTCTAAAAACAAGAATAGGCAGTTTGGAATCGCTTGCTTTTAATTAACACATCAGGATGGTTAGTGACCACTGCATTTTTTTCTGAGTGCTCAAAAGCCATCTGTTTAGTAATTTCAACTAGATTTTTTTGAAAGAGAAATTGTAACAATCTATTATTTTCAGAATCCAAATGTTCCATCAATTTCGAAAATTAGAACAACATTTCCATTCTCCTGACACCTTTCTTGCGCTCAATGAAGCATAAAAAAAATTTAACAGCACTTAACTTCAACACATCGATTCATCTTAACAAAAGTTAAAATAATGACAACGGGCTACATTTATGGAGCACTTACCATGTGTCACACACTGCTCTAAGCTTATTAGGTAAATAAACTCATTCAATCTTTGAAATAATCCTATGAGGGTTGTACTGTTATTATGTCCATGTAACAAATGATGAAGCTGCGGTACGGTATTAAAGGGCTGTAACTTACCAACACCACATAGCTCCCATGTGGCAGAGCCAGGATTTGCACCTGGGCAGCCCTATTCTGGATCCATCCTTTTAACTACTCAGGAGCAACAAAAAGAGACAACTGAAATACTGCTTTGATAACTAGTGTAATCAATCAGGTCTCCCACATGCATTATCCCATTTAGAAGAAATGTCAGTGGATGACCATCAAGAGTCTGCCTATCTCTGGCTTGAAAGGTTGTTGGTTGTTCTTTTTGCAAGTAATCGCAAACTTCCATATGGAATTGGAAAATTATAGTCATTTTCTCTCACCTGGGACTTGGTTCTATTCCATTTCATGGAAGAGAAAACTTGATGACTAGTCTACAATATGTTCAAATGCTTTCTGTAGCACAGTTCGACCATCAAATACAGTATCAGAGGAGCAGAGCATCATGATATTAAAGGACATTATTACACACTCCACCAAATGACTAAAGAAAAGTTTTCCATGAACTATCTCCTTGAAGATAAATATTTGGATAGATGCATCATATTTACAATTTATGTAAGCTTGCACTCCTTGTATTTTAAGAAAAGCACAGTTCACCTTAATGACCTATTGTGTGTAAACTCTAATAAAATAAATATGGCTAATATCTACTCCAGTGGTGACTTGTACTTCCTGTAAGTAAAAAATTTCATTAATTTCAACAGATTGGTCTTTTCAAACAACTTGTTGAGTTATTTTAATGTGGTTACTCAGCTGTCTGACAGAACTATCTCACCATCTGATACAAAACGGTCATGTGAGTGCATCCTAATGCAGCTAATTCTCCGCTGGTAGTGGAGGAAGTTGGCAAGGACAGATTAATTTGACAATTTAGATTATAAAGCAAAAGATTAAATAAATGTTACACAACAGTGACTATTTAGTGAGAGTTTATATTACGGAATACTATCCTACATTGAAACATGAAGTTCTGAAACAGAGGAGAAAATTCAACATAAATTCAACACTTCCTTTGATTTCAGTGCATCTGTGCTATGATCTGACGGCCCTTATAAGACAGCTGGTGTCACTGGGGTTCCTAAATATTCTGAGATGCTAATCAGTTGTTATGAAGCCTATTGAATATGTCAAAATTCATTTTAAAATTTTACCTTGTGTGACAAGCCCATCCTTACTGCCTTCAAAAGATCCTTGTATCCAATTTCCACACCTAATAATTCTTAGTCACATAGACAGATGAAGCTAAACTACCTTGCATTCTTCTCCAACTTGAAATGTGGTATGAACATACAAGAAGACACTTACTGATACACAGAGCATTAAACTTTAAAGTCATCAAGGAGAAGCAAAGCAATGCTGTTTTATCTTGGCAGAGAATGTATCCTGGACATATATTTAAATGTTTGACTTGCCTACAGTAGTAATTTCTGACATTTTCAAATGGTAGTGAATGCTACTGGCAGTAAAAAGCACAATTACATATTTGACAATTATGTCATCCTGGTTAGACATTTTGGATATTATTGTAAGCTATGTCGGATCTTGCCACAAGATGTGTTTTCAGAAGCCGGGTGATGACAAGGAGGCATCACAATGATTTATGGTGCTGTGACAGCATTCAATTAATTGTTCTTAGCTGATTTTAATTAATTGAAAAACAATGTTAGTTTGGGAAACATGACTTTAGCTCTGAGGATGAAATACTGATTGAATGGAGTACAGCACTTGCATAAAAGCCCTGATTCCAAATGAATGAGGGAATTTTTAAAAACAGTGGGAGGTGTTCTTTTTTTTCCCGTTATTCTAGGAAACAGATGGAAATATATTATGCCAATATGGAGTCCAGAGGAACGTTGATACAAGGATTGTAAATACCACAGGTTAAAACACATCCCAGTAATTCTCATGGAGGTCCTAATACAAGGTTATCTTCCTTGTACTTTTAAAATAACTTTGATCTGTTCTCTTTGTCTCTAGGGTCTTCCTTCTCTATTCCTTCTCCATCCGACTCATCAAACTACTTCCCTTGCAAGTTGCTGCTGAGGATGTGATTTAGTGCATTTTAAAGTCTGCACAGTTTAATTCATTTTAACATCATCAAACCATAGCTCATGCACCATGCCCAGCATATGTATTTTCTGAGTACTTGCCAAATGAAACAAATGATCTCCACCCTGACATATACTGGGTGTTTGCTCCATAGCAATCTCTTTACATATATTATCTCATTTAGCCCTCACAAAAGACCTAGGAAGATGAGGTTATTATTGTCCCTATTTTAGAGATAAGCAAAAAAAAAGTTTTCTGAGGTTAATTTGCTTACCCAGCCAAGCTCGCACAAAACCCAGGCCTGTCCAGCATCTGAGCCTGAACTTTTGACTACTACTCCACAATGGGCAATCCAGAGATCACATCGCTCCTCTGAAAAAAAACATCTTCCATGGTCCAGACTTTTTGGCACAGTGTCCAAGGCCTTTCTAAATATTCTCTGAAACAATCTTTTCAGCTTCTTAACCCACCATTTCCCTGCACACATTCCCACTTCCACTGTTTGTTTTGTAGACACTCAAATACGCAACTCTTATGCCATGTGTCCTTTCTCCAATCCCCCTTTCTCTCCTCTCCTTTTATGAAATTGTATTAGGCTCCAAGACCTGTTTCAGGTACACTCTCCTCCATGAGGCCTCCTGCACTGAGTCCTATGATGACTTTATTCTCTAGGCTTTCCTAGGCTTTGTGATTTATGCAATTATTTGTCAAATTAGGGTGGACACTGTATCTAGTCCTGCTTGCCCACTAAATTGTGTCTCTGAAAGCTAACTATGTCTTACTTTTACCTATTTATCCATCATATGGACCCAACTGTGTTCCCCAGGTATTCATATATTGAACCCCTAACCCTCAGCATGAGCATATTTGGAGATAGGACCTCTAAGGAGGTATTTAAAGTTAAATAAAATCATAAGAGTGAAGCACTGATCCACCGGCACTAGTATCCTAAAAAGAAGATGAAGAGACACACAGATGAAAGGTCAGGAAAAGACAGAAAAACTATCTAGAATGTGCTTTGCCTTACAGAGCTTTGTAGGTTACTTGCAAATTTTTTTATTTTTATTTTTATTTTTATTTATTTTTTTGAGACAGGGTCTCAGTCACCCAGGCTGGAGTGCAGTGGCACAATCTCAACTCACTGCAACCTCAGCCTCCTGGGTTCAAGCAATTCTCCTGCCTCAGTCACCCCTGTAGGTGGGATTACAGGGATGCGTTACCACACCCGGCAGATTTTTGAATTTTTATTAGAGATAAGGTTTCGCCATGTTGGCCAGGTTGATCTCGAACTCCTGACCTCTAGTGATCGGCCTGCCTCAGCCTCCGAAGTGCTGGGATTACAGGCATGAGCCACCGCTCCCAGCCTAAATTACTTGTAAATTCTTGAAAGCCTAACAATTTCAGGTAATTTATGCATAGCTTACTCCCTATCCCTTGTATTTCATTTACGCATTTATTGGGAGATTTGCAAAGAAGATATTAAAGCAAACAGAACATCAATTCCACACTGGATTATATACTAAAACATAAACAAAATTAGAAAATAAGGTATTAATTTCTATGGCACTGCAGTCTTTTTAAAGAGACACTAGAAACTTTCAAGGGTATTTGAATAATGTGTCTAAATATAAAAATAAAATTATCAGAATAGAGGTCAAGATATGAAGAATCTTGAATAACCTCAAAACTGCAGAAACACTTATGAATATTTCATTTAAAAACAATATTGTAATTCATAACTTATCAGTAAAACTATCACTAAATTTAAAATTAATCAAAATTCAAAGTTGGTATACTAGGTTGAAGATTCTCACAATTGTTTTGATTATCTGTAACAGGATTGCCTGGAATTCTTGCTTAACATGCAATTATTTGGGCCCTATCCCAGAACTAGTGAATAGCAATTTCTGGGAGATAGAACCTTGGAATCTGCATTTTAAATAAGTTCCCTATGAGAGGCTTACATCTTTTAAAGCTTGAGAAGACTCTACATTACTAGGTAATAAACAGTAACTTGCAATGAAAAAAAATGTGAGAGAAATGGTTCATAGGAATTCTGGTATTTCAGCCTAGAACAAATAATGTTTGAAAGCTAATAATAACAACTATCCACAACTAACCTTTGGGATTGATATTTAATTTTAGTGTCCTTGGCTTGTTTCAAAGGAGACTTACACTTAACTAATATTCACATTAACCAAGGACATCCAGACACATATTTCCCAGTTAACATAGTCAAAGACCCACAAATCCTGAGAAGAACTTGCATGAGCCATGAGAGAGACATAGGATACACAATGATTCTGGGTGTTATCCCTGAGCAAATGATGATGTGACTATGGCAACTAATGCGGGGCTTAACTCTCCTGTACCTCAGTGTTGCACCTGCAACAGGGGAAGTAGGGCTAGAAATCACTGCAGTGCCTTCTGTTTTGCAAATATACGACTTTTGGTAGCACTGTTATTAATCTGAGTCACACTTCAGTTTCCCAGTCTACAGGTTGAAATAGGCATCATCATTGCTTGGTGATAACAAAAAAAATGTGGGGGCATTTCACAAGTGTTTGAAGGTCCCAGAATTGTTCATGAGGAAGAATGAGAGCCCAGCTGATTAGGGATCGACCCTCAGCCAGTGTTTTTATGGAAAACAGTTTTTCTGGAAGGCACCAGGTAAAAGGCAAATGGTAAGCAATGGTCTTAAAATCACCACCCCTATCTAGCCAGCCGGGCTCTCTCCTCCCTTTTACCAGTTGACACAAGCTTCATGTCCTCTAAGTTTCATAGCATGATGATTCTTCCCTGTTAAAGACTAAAACATCCATGGCATGGAATAATCATAATTTTTTTTTTCAATTTACAGAATTTACCATGGCAAGCAAATGTATTAATGCATTTTTGAAAGATAGTCAATAACAGTTGAAACAAAAAGGCTTACAGGTGCTTAAAGTCTCAGTTTTCTTAATAAAGGAATAATCATTATTGATTCACAAGTCATGGCTGTGTTTGTAATTCTAGTATAAACATGGACCATGCATGGAAACCATCCCTTCTCAGGAAGTGTCATTTTGTATGTATAAATATTGATCGAGCTTTGGTTCCTACTACCAGATGGCAGACCTGTGAAATTCTAATAAAGCTGAAGAGATTCAAACAGATTATCATTCACTGAACGGCACTGGGGACCATTGTGAAGGTCAAAGTTTTTATTTCAAAAATAAGTAATTAGAGTTGACAGGAGAAGTGTAATAGGGCCCAAATGAATAAATTTGTTAATTGGACTTCCCTGGGGTAGTGGTTAACCCAGGACTGTGGTCATGAAACCTGTTCATATCTATAGTTTCAAGGTAAGAGTGTCCTTGGATTCCAGGCACAAAATGGAATCCCAGATGAGATTGTAGCATTATAGTAACCCATGAGAATTTGGTCACACCTACTCAATGTAAGGCCTTGTTAATTACTTGCTGACAGAATACCTCCTTGACAGAAACCCATGGTACACAAATATCATGTGTTAAAATAAAGGCTGCCACCTCTAAGATTATATTTACAGATACACACACACACACACACACACACACACACACACATACATTGTGACATAGAAAAGGCTTAAAATAGGAATCTCTTTTGGTTATATAGCAAGCATTTCCTTCTTCTTAGTAAGAAATATATAAAGCATAATCAAACTGGTATGAAAAAGTTGCCTCTATAGCAAATGAGAAGTCGATTATCACAGGCCTGAGTGCATACCCTCAATATCGCCACATATGCCAATAATTAGGGCTTGCACTTTCACACATTCCAAATGAAAATTTCAGAAGTTTCCCCCCAACAGTCTTTTCCATTGCAATCAATGTTGTGCTTCTGACATTGAATCAATATTAACTGTAAAGTTCCTGCGTGGCATTTCCATATGCATGTGTAGGAAGGCAAGGTCAATTCTATCCCACAGCATTTTCCCCTCACCTACCCAAAAGACTGCACTAGTGGAAATGCGAGGTTAATTAAACCAGGTTCACTGCAAGTGACCATGCATTGCCTGCCTTTCCTTTCTATTGCAAACTCTATCAATTAAATCTAAGGCAATTTAAATTATTTTCCACTAACTCAGGCTTCCCTTTTCCCCTGTCCATCCCTGCTAACTCTTTCTTGAGCCTCTCCTCACTTAACCAAAGAAAAACTTTTAGGTCTTCTCACTGTCCCATTAGTAACTAGTACCAGTCAAACAGCAGTTGTCTGAACCATGTCGTATAATACTTAATATCTGCTGCTTAGACTAATAATGCCTCCTCACCTAGGCCCCTCAACAAAGTACAAAATCTAGATCAGAAAACATCAGGCAGATAAGGACTCTTGTCTAGATGACCTGTAATCAGTAAAAAGTAGTAATGAGTCACTACAAAGACATTATTGACCTCAAAGTTAAGTTCTGTTCTTGAATTCTAAGTTATCTTATGGGATAGGCCAAGCTGGTCCAACCTGCGGCCCATGGACCACATGCAGTTCAGGACAGCTTTGAACAGAGCCCAACAAAAATTCGTAAACTTTCTTAAAACATGAGATTTTTTGTAATTTTTTTTTTCTTTTTTAGCTCATCAGCTATCAGTAGTGTTAGTGTATTTCATGTGTGGCCCAAGACAATTCTTCTTCTAATGTAGCCCAGGGAAGCCAAAAGATTGGATACTGTGGGATAGACCATCATTGTAATTTTCACAATTGTGAATACATTTGTGCTGACGAAATTTGAGATTTGACAAATAGCTCAAACTGGAAATCTCAAATGACAAACTAAATACAACAAGAAAAATAACAATGAAACAGCATGAATCTGATCTATCAATGATGGATCAAATTTTTAGTTAAACCATTTTGAACTATTCCAAACAGAAATGGAAATGTAGGCATAGAAAAATGTCTAGCCATCCAAGAAGTGTATTCCAACTTAAGCAGATACTCCATATGAACATCTTCAATGTAAAATTTTGGAGACAATTCATGATGGTGATGATTTTATTACAGAAGGCCTTTATTCTCTAATTCCCAATGTAAATCTAAAGTAATCACCTTCCTGAAATAGCTAATACATGAACTGGTTAGTAACCAACAGTTACTAATATTTCACTAAAGATTTCGAGACAAAAATAAAGTTCACTCAAAATATCACTTTTAGGCAGTATAGACTGCTCTCTCTTGTTCACTCTCTTTTTCTGTAAATAAGTAGTCTTCATAGTATTCAGGCAAAACCACAGAAAAATTTTAACATGTTAGGACTGGCTAAAAGTCCTAACAAGTTAAAAGCATCTCTCCCTTTAAAAATGACTACAATTATGCTTATAAAATTATATTTTAACCTAAAAATATAATTGATAATCTTGAGAAACTGTTAAACAAAAAAACCTCAGTGGATATTTTTAAGCAAATTCCATTAGGTGAGAACATATTGAAGCCATCTCATCAGAGGACACACACACGCGCACACACACACACACATCGCCGATTCCAATGTTCCTAATTTTACATTTTTTCATATACCTCAAATCATTTATTCAGTCTTCTGTATAGTTTAAGACAAATTCCCCTTATTCTTTTCACATTTCAGGTGAAGAACAAAACACTTAGCTATCCTTCTATTGCAGTGTTGTTTACTTACATCAAGTTTAGCAAATGGATTAATTTATCTCACAGAAAGCCATATTATCCTAATCATATTTCTGTGTGGTAAGCAGAAAAAGTATCATTTATATATTGGTAAGAAGAAAAAACATCAGAGAGAGAGAGAGAGAAAAGAATGAAAGAAAAAGAAAGAGAGAAAAAGAAAGAAAGAAAGAAAGAGGGAGGGAGGGGGAGGGAGGGGGAGGGAAGAAGGGAGGGAGGAAGAAAGAAAAAGAGAGAAAGAAAGAAAAGAGAGAAAGAAAGAAAGAGGCAGAGAGTGATGGAGGGAGGAAGAAAGAAAGAAAAAGAGAGAAAGAAAGAGAAAAGAGAAAGAGAGGGAGTCAGGCAGGGAGGGAGGAAGAAAAGAAAGAGGGAAAGAAAAGAAAAAGAGAAAGAAAAGAAAGAAAGAAGAGAGAGAGAGAAAGAAAAAGAAAGAAAGAAAGAAAGAAAGAAAGAAAGAAAGAAAGAAAGAAAAAGAAAGAAAGAAAGGAAGGAAGAGAAGAAAAAAGAAAAGAAAGGAATTTCGCCCAAAAGTCTTGGTATCAAAGTGGCTCACACACAATTCTATGGTATTTTACTAAAAACCCAGGCTTCCTCCAGAGGGGTGATTTCCTGGGTGTCTGGGTTGGAATATAAAGGACTTTAGATGGTCTCTCTGTTTTTTGAACCCCATCTATTTAATTTTAGAGAATCTCTGGACTTAAAGGGAAGGGACCTACTGGTGGGACATAAGCCACTGAGAACTTACCAACTCTAAAAGAATTCCATGCTATTTTAAGATAGTTCTGACCGTGGTTATTTCTTCATTTATATTCAATTAAAATTTGTCTTGTCACTTACGTCTATCCATCCTACTTCTCACTTGGAGTCACATAGAACAAATATAACCTCTCTTTCATATGTTTTCAAATATTTGATGACCGCTATCATAATTTGCTTATTTCTTAAAATGATAAGGTTGAAATTATTGCCATTTCATGAGGATGACCTTCAGAGTAAAGCTGGACGATCATGGAAAAAAATCATCAATGGCACTGCTTCAATTCTTCAGCCTAAAATAATATAATACATTTCTGAGGCTTTCAAACTAATATAAATGAATATAATAACTTCCTTTTGTTCATAGCTGATTACATTATATTACAACAGCACGACTTCCAGGGCTAGCATGCAAAAGTAATTTATTTTTCTCCCACATCTGTAACTATTTGGGAGAGCAGCTAAGTCTTAATAATTATGCTGCAGACACAGTAAATAGAGCAAACCCAATAGGTCACACTGTGACTATAGTTCAGAGAGAGAACAATTATTTTATCCCATATAATCTGCATCCAACATTTCATATAGAAAACGAAAGAGAAAAACATAACACTGGCTTACAAAATTATTACAGTCTTTTAATATTCACTCTTCTTTTTTTTCTGTTTAGCAGCTTTTCTGTCTGGAATAGGAAAACACACACATGCACGCATACACACGCTTGTGCACTTACAGCATAAATGACACGCCTGAACAATTTTCATTAAAAAGTCATTTCCTTTTAGGTTGTGATTCATTTTACTTTGTCTGACATAGATTAAGTTATTATGAAATTAACTAAAATTGCTGGCATGTCATTCAATTTTTTTTCCTCTTTTCCTCCCCCCATACAAAAACAACATTCCGCCATCTAAAGAATGGTCAAAGTCAAGAAACGGGTTTTCTTCTTTCATCAACAGATATTGCCTAACACTTTTTTTTTCCTAAGTAGAGTAAAATGTGCTGTCAAAAATGCAAATCAACAGCAAGTAAATATCTTCCCTGAGAACCATGTCTGTATCAGAGAGGCCATTATTGAGAAATCAAACCAGTGTGTTTGTGGGGTTTAGAATATATTATTAGTGAAATATGTGAAATATGAAAATGATTCTCTTGTGACACTTAAGGAAAAAAAAACCAAGTCCAGGGCAATTTTTCCTGCCAATCAAGGGATTCTGTCAAGACTTTCTTTGTTTTAGAAGTCAAATCTCATGGAGAGATCCACGTGAGTCCCTTTGAGAAATGCAGTCTAATAGCCTTTGTTTTTTTAACATGGAGGAGCTCCAAAACATACAAAACAAAATTAAAAGCACCATGACAAGGATAAACAACTTAGACTGTTTATAAAATACAACTAGAGAACCTGAGTAAACTGCACAAGCCTCCTGAGTAAAATGGCTTTAGCTGATCATTTACATGTCCTCATTTTGTTGTGGTAATGACTAAGATTAACTAAGAACTACATTAGCATTGTTGCCTGTGAAGTGTGCTTGCTGCTCTCAGAAGGCCTGCCTCCTCTTCAAAACCCATAAACAAGCTGCCTCACAGTGGACAATTGATTTTAGGCATTCGAGCCCATTAACTTCAGTACAATTATCAAAAAGCAGAGGAGAGAATGTATCCAACTAAGTAAACTCTCATTACTACACAACTTCTGCTATGCAACAGAATTTTTATACCAGAAGTTAGAGATAAAATCATGAAATTCTGAGTTAACTCAGATTTAAATGTTGGTTCCAGCACTTATGAGCTCTAAGCCTTTGAGTAATTAATTCTAATTATCTAAACCTACACTGTTTAGCCATGTATTCTACTGAATATTAGCCATGTATTAGCCATGTATTCTACTGAACACTTGAAATGTGGCTACTGTGACTGGGAAGCTGAATTATACATTTTATTCTGTTTCAATTAAATAAAATTAAAATTTAAAAGTAGATCCTTTAATTATTGGAAAAACTTTTAGGCATGTTGGAATACTTTGGGTCTATAAACCTATTATTTCAACTAAACATTTTATAAAATTGTAATGCAGATCAAATAAGTATTTCCAGTGAAAATTTAGCATCCAAATTGAGATGTGCTCTATGTAGAAATAGGCACTGATTTCAAAGACTTAGTATATTAAAAAAAGAAAAATACCTCATTAATAATGTTTGATATTGATTATATGTTGACATAATATTATATTGGATGAATTGAGTTGAATAACATATATATTTAAAATTACTTTCCCCTGTTTCTTTTTCTCTTTTTTATTGTGGCTGCAAAAAACTTAACTTATATACATAACTCAAATTTGTGACTTGCATGTTTCTATCAGATAATGCTTCTCCAAACGTTTGATTC
The DNA here is from genome assembly GCF_000001405.40 of Homo sapiens. Taxonomy (NCBI): domain Eukaryota; kingdom Metazoa; phylum Chordata; class Mammalia; order Primates; family Hominidae; genus Homo; species Homo sapiens. The sequence continues at coordinate 35,302,904 of NC_000008.11, read as the reverse complement.
CTTATTTGTAAAATGCAAGGATATTAACTACATTGTAGGGTTTTATAAACATTAAAATGTATACATATAAAGTATTAGTGGTCACTTTTATTAAGACTGTTTTATCTAACAGAGGATGGCATACTTATCTTGTGCAATATTTAATACCTTAAAGTCCAAATGTATATCAAATCTATTACCTATACCGTAAGTTTTTCTTTTCTCTTTAATACTTTGCAATACAAGATCTTCACAAATGCTTTAATGTGTTCTCCAAAAAATTAAAAGATTTTTTTAAAAGAAATTTAACTCATTTTCTATTGTGCCTTCAGACAGCATCCAGTCAAAATCCCTACTCTCTTTGGTCTATCATGTGCACTTGCGTGCACAACCCAACCCTTATTACAGCTGGTCACAGAAGGAAGGTTCTCTAAAACAGCTTTCTAAAATCGTCTAAAAGCCCTGGTGAAGCACAGCATCTGAGGAAAAGAAACCATGGAGTGCCCTGCGATGCTCTCATTTGGTGATAAGGTCATTTTGTTGCATCATTTTTCAGTTGTATTTGGTTTAGCCCTCTCCTTTTATAACAAGGGAGACATCCAGAATCCTAACAAAAGGAAATAGTGGAGAGATTGAATTTCTCCCATGAAAGGATTTTCCAGATTTGGCTCTCAGCCCATCTCAATTTGGAGACTCAGAGCTTCTCTCATTCCTTCAAAGTCACTGGCACCACTGAGCTGCTCAATGCTAAATAAATATTTCAAATATAAGGGTAAGCTGTTGAATTTATCCAAAGTGGATTAACAGATCCAATTCTATCCCTTCTTCCTCCCTCCTTCCCCCAGCACCTCTAATCCCATTTTATCAGGCATAAAATTTTACATTGCTCTAACTCATGGCCTCGCCATTGCCAAATTTCACAATTCATCTCCCAGGTTTGTTCTCTCTCATTCTCTCTCTCTGTCCGTGTCGAATAATTTTAGACTTACTTTGCATCAAGAGTTCCTGTACATCCTGCCTGCGTCAATAATTACTGTATTATTTACCCAAGAGATTTTCCATTTCCTTCATTCTTTTTACATTTTTAAATCAAATTCCGTGAAAACAAAAAAAGTTCCCTCTCCCCATTCTTCTATTCAAGTGTTTATTTATAGTAAATTATATAAGAAGGAGGCCATTTGTTTGAGGCTGCCTCTGTACTTAACGTTCCTATGTAACAAACTGCAACAACCTAACCTAAGAATGCAAACAAACCAAAACGTAATTTGGTAGTATAGTTTTTGTAACAGCCATATTTCAGCCAATCAGAGGCAGCCAACTCAATACGCTATGCTAAATAACAGAAATACCTCAGCCTACCATGCCGAAGTAAGGCAAACGCCTAGCTGTAACTAATCAGATGATTTCTCTACCTTGCTTCCACGTTCAGCTTGTAATAGCTTGCTACTCAGGTTACTGGATGGAGCTCTTTAAACCTCTTCTGGTTTTGAGTGCTGCCTGATTGATGAATTGGTTTTGCTTAGATAACCTCTGTGAAATTGGTCTAAAGCTCTTAACATTTGTACCAATAAGGACTCATCTAGATATTAATTTACCCTATAGGTTATAATGGAATACCATTGTTATTTATTGACTTATTTGCTCAAGCTGTGCCACCTTTGACCATTGGGAACTCTTGCAGGTTGAATCTTGTATCCTTTCAACATGTCCTTATCCTTTTTGGACCCCTTCGTACTTTCTGGCACCACAAGACATCTCAAGGTCATCTTACATTCTCCCTGTTCCATCTCTGGAATCAGTAATTTCTTGAAGGAGATAATTTCTTTCATTAAAAAACTGTATTTAGAAACCAAGATCTACGAGCAAGGTGTGCTTGTTGCTACTGGAGCTTCAGTGCTTCTAGTCCCTCTCAATAGGCAGAGCTAGGAAATACATGGATGTATACACATAAACATACACACACATCTGTATTCCTATTGGTGTCTATCTGCATATACATGAAAACCTATGCATTCATATTAATAACTCTCATCCCAATCCAACACCACAGGGTTTATTCTATATTCCTCCCTCTCCTTATTTGTAACTTGATTTTTTCAATACAAAGAAATCCACCTCTCATTATCTATAGAATACTATTTCCTCAATCCAAGAACATCAAAAGTAACTTCACAATTACTAATCCACACCCTGTGGGAAACAAAGTTACTAACTGAAGTACAGTATTTGCTATTTGTTTATGCATCTTCTAAACTTTAGTTTCATAATATCTAGTCAGAATATTGTTTTCCAAAGTTACTTAGGTTAGTTTTTCTTCTTCCTCCAGGTGGAGTCATTTATAATACAGTGAAGTTCATTTATTACTGCTTGTATTCCCTTTGGTTTCTTGGTTAATTTTATTTATTTTTAAATAGATGAAACATTACTCTGCTTTTTTTTTTTTTTTTTTTTTTTTTTTTTTTTTTTTTTTTTTTTTTTTGAGAGGGAGTCTCTCTCTGTTGCCCAGGCTGGAGTGCAGTGGCACAATCTCAGCTCACTGCAACCTCCACCTCCCGGGTTCAAGTGATTCTCCTACCTCAGCCTCCAAGTAGCTGGAACTACAGGCACGTGCCACCACAACCAGCTAATTTTTGTATTTTTAGTAGAGATGGCGTTTTGCCATGTTGGCCAGGCTGGTCTTGAACTCCTGACCTCAGGTGATGTGCCCACCTTGGCTTCTCAAAATGCTGGGATTACAGGCGTGAGCCACCATGCCCAGTCTACTCTACTTCCTAAAGGCCAAGCTAAACTAAGGCATAAGAGAAGTGCTGTTCTTCCTCATCTCTACTACCTCGGTCCTCTTCCTTCTACTCCTTCCTCATCCACTTCCTATAGGTAATTTATTTCACTGGTTTCTGATTTATCTTTCCAGTATTTCTCTTGTACAAATTAGCAGGTGCATGCTTATTTTTCATATATCCTTTTTATTTTATTAAGTAAGGAATATCTCAGAGTAACCCTTCTGCACTTTGCCTTTCCACTTTACAGCATATCCTGGACATTATTCAATAGCAATCAATTCACAGTAACTTTCCTCACTCTATTTTACAGTTGCATTGTACTCCACTGTGTAGCTGCACTATCATTTATTCAACCATTCTCTTAGGTGTGAATATTTAGGTAATAGCAAAACATCTAATATTTTGCTATTACCAAGAATACTACAGTAAATAATCTTATCCACTTGTCTTTTCATATTCTTGCAGGTAGATCTTTTGCATAAATTACTGAAAGTAAGATCCTGAGTTAAAAGTTGGTCTTGTTATGTATCACCTATTTTTCCTCCAGAAGAGCTGTGTCAGTTTGCATCTCCACTAGCAGAGAATGACAGTGCCACGCTTTATGTATTTTTTATTTTTACTCTAACACAACCTCCACAAAGCATGGAAATCATCAAGAGGGAAGAAAGGAAGGAAAGAACGGAGGAAGAATAGACCCAGCAGTCTGAACACATCACTGTCCAGCTTAAGGATGACGACAGTTCCTCACTGCCTGTGAAACGAAGCCCTTATTCTTTGAATACTCTTGCAAGGCTCTTTCCAGGCTTAGCAACTCTCTCCTGGCACTGCTTTTATCAGGGGACCTGCCATTCCTCAAACAGTCTATGATCAGTTTCCAACGTTGCCAGTTTGGTCACACTCTTTGCTTTGCTTGCAATTCCACACTCCCACCCATCATAACATATTTCGGAAACCTTATTCCAATTGGTCCTTCAAGCTCAAATGTCAACTCTACTTCCTCAGAAGAAGGGTATATTTTACATATTCCTTAGTGTTCTAGAAGTTCTTCATTCACACCATCCTGACTGCACTGAACCCACCATGGTATTATCAGCACCAGGCATATCTGACTCCCTTGCACAAGTGTTTAATCATTGACAGTGGAGACATTGTCTTTGAAGCTCCAGTACTGCAGGTGTACCAATTTTGAAATAAACAAAAAATGAATAAACAATACATAAAAATAACATTACCCTTTATTCAAAAGCATGCTTCTGTTTCACATGTTTCTTCTAACCTAATCACTTTGTTAATGTTCAAGTACCACTTCTCTTAATAAGCACATTTTGAAAGGGCAAATGCCAATACTTAAATTCAGTACTGCCAAGTATATATCCTTCCAACAATTTTCCTCTTCACATTATGTGGAATTTTGCTCTATTTTCCTTGCTTTACTTTCTTAGGATATTGTGCAACTCTACTGCTATTGAACACATATGTTTGGGCCCTACTCAACATACACATACTTTATCAGCCCTTCTCCCCGCCTTGCAGTATCCAAAAAAAAAAAAAAAAAAAAACCTACAACAATCAAAAATATTAAAAGCCTAAGTAATCAATCTCTATTCTGACAAAGAGTCAGGTGGTGACAGTACAATATACTGAGACATTAAATTGTGTTTTGTTAAAGTGTCAAAGGAGCCTTGCCCATCCCCCATCTCCAACACACACATTCAAGAGAGTACCTAAGCCTCTGAATCCAAGAAAAATGGACCTTCTCTTTTCTGAAGTAGAACTAAACACAGTTGTTTATAAAAACACAAAAAGAGGCTCAGAGCCAAAGTTTAGGGGTGAAGTGGATAGGGTATGCTTAAGAGTGGGAGAAAACTGGAGTGGGTAAATTGAGGAGGAAAAGTTGACTTCCCTTAAACTTGGAAAGAGCCAGGGACTATGGGGGTGTTTCTGTGAGTAACAGAGTCCTGGATCCTACTGGTGTGCAGAGTCCAGATCATTGGGACAGAGTTCTACACATTCAGCTGCTGCTCCCAGGACTTGCATATTCAGAGCAGCAGAGGAAGTCCCTGTGGGTGAGCAGGGGAAGCTCATAGTCTGCAGACAGGACTCCTGCAAGAGGAAGCCCTATGTGAAGCCTGAGACTGACCAGAAAGATCACCAGTACTGACTGTGAAGACAGAGAGGAATGCTACTGACTAAAGGCCAGGTCCTGTTCTCTGTTCTAGACACCAAAGAAACCTCCCAATTTGTGGCCCCGCTTAATGGAAGTCGTGGAATGCTGTCAAATTAGTGAGTTTGCGGTTTTAGTATTTTTAACAACCTGCTGACTGTAGATATGGAGCCTTATTAAGCTTGCCAAAATTTAAAAAAAAAATCATAACATCTTACATCTGAGTGTTAGGGAACACAATTCACACCTGTCACATTTATAATGTATTAAATCCGGAGGCAGCAAACACCAGAACTTTATCTACACACCCTCACCAACAAGTCTTCTAACATAGTTAGGAAGGGATTCAGATTACAGGTAGCAAAGAAAAGGCTGGGCCTGTGTCCTAGTGTAAAGACCAGAGAGCTGCTGAAGTGAATTCTAGGTTCCTTTGGCTCCTTAGCTTCCTGATGTAGCCTCAGCCAACCTACAAAGGGGAACAATATCATCAATAGATGTGATTCCATCATTTAAATATTTCTATCCTCTGCTACTCAAATCATGGGAAATAAAGGTCCAAGCAGTTGGTCACGACATCATTTCAGAGGCCTCTTCACCCTTCTACTCAAATATTTTCTGATATGTAGATGCCTGTAATTTATTGAAAAAATAGGAAAGGCTTTTTCAGGCTACAATTCAGAACAGTTGTCTTTAATAATTAATCCAATAACCAAGAATTCTTTGTGTGACTAGCTATGAGGATTTTTTGCTAAGCAGAAAAGGAAAGTGAGAGATATAAAACACTTATGATTGAGGGAGGTGTCAGGAAAAAAGTGCCCAAATAGAAGTGCTTATAAACACACTTCACCACGTTAGCTGAGGTGAACCCTGTGGTACTCAATGAAGGCAAACATAAGTTTTCCACTGAAGAGCTTCATCTAGACATCTGTTTCTCCCATGACTTATAAAATTTGTTTTGCGTAAATGTTCTGAGCTGAAGTGATTTTATATTTAGGATTTTCAACTTTAAGAAATCTGTTACTATCAATATTATTATGTGGCTGACTTTAAATATTGCAAATTGGCATGGCATTATTTGTTGACTGCCCTTAGAATGTAGGATAAAAATATGGGTATCACAGTACAATGAGTGGTGTTGTGTATAAGGGAGAGGGGTGATATATTTATTTTGGCCACAGAATGTAATCAACCAATATATTTTAAAATAAATTCAAAGAAGATACATGAATGGCCAAAAGATACATGAAAAGGTACTTACCACGGCCAGGCATGGTGGCTCATGCCTGCAATCCCAGCACTTTGGGAGGCCAAGGCAGGTGGACCACTTGAGGTCAGGAGTTCGAGACCAGCCTGACCAACATGGTGAGACCCCCATCTGTACCAAAAATACAAATATTAGCTGGTCATGGGGATGGGCGCCTGTAATCACAACTACTCAGGAGGCAGAGGCAGAAGAATTGCTTGAACCTGGGAGGCAGAGGTTGCAGTGAGCCGAGATTGTGCCACTGCACTCCAGCCTGGGCAACAAGAGCAAAACTCCATCTCAACAAAAAAAAAGATTCTTAACACAACTACTCATGGGAGAAGTGTAAATCAAAACCACAATGAGAGAACACCTCACACCTATTAGGATGGCTACTATCAAGAGGACAAAAGATAACAAGTGTTGTCAAAGGATGGAGAGAAAAGGGAACCTTGTACACTGTTGGTGGGAATGTGAATTGGTAGAGCCATTATGGAAAATAGTATAGAAGCTCCTCAAAGAACTAAAAATAAAGCTACCATGTAACCAGCAATTCCTGTTCTGTTTATCTGAAGGAAACAAAAGGAATAACTCAAAGAGGTATCTGTACTTCCATGATCGCTGTAGCATTCATGATAGCCAATATGCGGAAAAAACTCTGTTCATCAACTGATGAATGGATTAAGAACTGTGTAAATTTACAATGAAATATTATTCACCCACAAAAAAGCAAGAAATCCTGCCATTTGTGACAACATAGATGAACCTGCAGGGAATTATGCTAAGTAAAATAAGCCTGACAGGGAAACACAAATACTGTATGATCCTACTTACATGTAGAATCTAAAGGAGTCAAACTCAGAAACAGAGAGAGGAATGGTGATTGTCAGAGGCTGAGGAGTGGAGGAAATGGGGAATGCTGGTGAAAGGCTGCAAACTTTCAGTTATAAGATGAAGTTCTGGAGAGCTAATGTACATCATGGTGATGACAGTTAATAATACCATATTATGTACTTGAAAATGTATAAAAGAGTAGATCTTAAGTGTTCTCACCACACCTACAAAAAAAGCTGACTATGCAAGGTGATGGATGTATTAACTGACTTGATTGTAGGATAGTTACCACTTCACAATGTGTATGTATGGCAAATCACTTTGTGCTCCTGAAATATATACTATTTTATGAGCCAATTATCTCAATAAAGCTGGGAAAACATTTTTTAAAAAGCAAAAATGAAATAAAACATGGTTGGCCCTTGAACAACACAGGCCTGAGCTGTGTGAGTCCACTTATATGCAGATGTTTTTCAAAAAATATGTTGGAAAATTTTTTTGAAGATTTGCAACAATTTGAAAAAAACTTGCAGATGAACCATGTATTTTAAAAATTAAGAAATATTGTACAACTTAAGAAAAAGATGTCATTAATGCACAAAGTATATAGAGATACTAATCCATTTTAGCAATTACTACCATAAAATCTATTGTAAAAAGTTAACATTTATCAAAATTTATGCACACAAACACTTACAGATAACACATGGAGCCATTTTCAGTTGAGAGAAATGTAAACAAACTTAAAAGGTACAGTATTAAATCATAACTGCATAAATTTAACTATAGTCCACACTGTATTACTGTAATAACTTTGTAGCCACCTCCTGTTGCTATTGTAGTGAGCTCAAGTGTTGCAAGCATACACTTAAAATATCATGTGAAACTAATCATCTTTGTGTGAGCAGTTCATCTCTCCAGTAAATTGGGTATCACAGTACAAAGTGACCTCCCATGGTTCTTGCGTATTTTTCATTGTGTTTAGTACAATGCCATAAACTTCGAATAACACCACAGGATACATACACTTTCAAAGCACCACTAGTGATGCTGAGTGTTCCCAAGAATCAGAGAAAAGTCATGCCATTACAAGAAAAAGTTGAGCTGCTTAATACATACCGTAGATTGAGGTCTCCAGCTGTGGTTGCTATCCATTTCAAAATAACTGAATTCAGCATAAGGATAATTGTAAAAAAAAAAAAAAAAAGAAGAAAAGAAAATTTGTGAGGTCATCTCCGCAGCTACACCAATAGGTGCGACAACACTGCAGTTTTTGTGAAACACCTTTTTATTTCATGTTGAAAATGCAGCTTTTATGTGGGTACAGAATTGTTATAAGAAAGGCACCCCTATAGATTCAAGATTCAAGAGAAAGCAAAGCAAATTCATTATATGATACTTTGAGCAAAAAGAATTAAATGCCAGCAAAGGATGGTTTGATAATTTTAGAAAGTGATTTGTCTTTAAAAATGTCAAGATGACAGCTGAAATAGCTTCTGCCAACTAAGAGGCAGCAGATAAGCATCTAGATGCCATTAAGAAAATTATTGAGAAAGGATATCTACCTGAACAGGTTTTTAATGCAAATGTAAATGCTCTAGTCTGGAGGAGAAAGTACCACCTAGGACATTTATTAGTAAAGAAGAGAAGAAATTACCAGGACTTAAGGCAGGAGGCATACGCTAACCGTGCTGTTTTGTGCAAATGCAGTTGAGTTTAAAATTTGCATTGCCCTTATTTTTAAAGCTGCTAACTCCTGAGCCTTGATAGGAAAAGGGAAACACCAGCTGCCAGTCTTTGAGTTACATAACAAGAAGGCCTGGACAACAAAAATCCTCTTGGATTTATTTCATTGATGCTTTATCCCCGAAGTCAGGAAGTACCCTGCCAGTAAGAGACTGTCTTTTAAAGTTCTTTTAATACTGGACAATGCTCCTGAACACCCAGAACCCCATGTATTCAACACAAAGGTATCTAAGTAGCCTACGTACTCCCAAATACAATGTCTCTAATTCAGTCTCTAGATCAGGAATCATTAGGATATTTAAGGATCATTACACATGGTACCCTATGGAGAGAATTGTCAACACTATTGGGAGAGCCCCAATTGAGAGGACATCATTTAAGTGTGAACAAATTACAATATTGAAGATGCCATAACCGTTATAGTAAAAGCTATGAACGCCATCAAATCCTGACACAATAAATTCCTGTTGGACAAAATTATGTCCAGATGTTGTGCATGACTTTACAGGATTTACCACAGAGTCAATCATGGAAATCACGAAAGAGATTGTGGACATGGCAGAAAAGGTTGGGGGAAAGGGTTTCAAGATATGATCCTTGGAGAAATTCAAGAGCTAGTAGATACCACACCAGAGAAGTTGATGGAAGATGACTTGATGGAGATGAGTGCTTCCAAACCAGCACCAGATGATGAGGAAGACATAAAAGAAGTAGTGCCAGAAAACAAATTGACATTAGACAAGCTGAAAGAAGGGTTCCCATTATTCAGGACTGCTTTTGACTTCTTTTATGCTATAAACCCTTCCATGGTAAAAGCACTGAAACAACCAAATGGTGGAAGGAGTATCAGTAGCCTATGGAGACATTTTTAGAGGAAATAAAAAAGCAAAAATTCAGATAAATTATAATTTATTCCCATAAAGCTACATCAAATGTGCCTGCCTCTCCTGCCTCCCCTTCTACTTCCACTACCTCTTTCACTTTGCTGTCTCTGAGAGCAAACCCTCATCTTCCTCATCCGCCTCAGCCTAGTTAAAGTGAAGACAACAAGGATGAAGACTTTTATGATGGTCCACTTCTGTTTAATGAATAGTAAATATATTTTATTTTCCTTATGATTTTCTTAATAATATTTTTCTTTCTCTGTCTTACTGTATTGTAAGAATACAGCAGCCAGGCATGGTGGCTCACATCTAATCCCAGCAATTTGGAAGGCCGAGGTGGGTGGATCACTTGAGGTCAGGAGTTCAAGACCACCCTGGCCATCATCAAAAATTAGCCGCATGTGGTGGCACATGCCTGTAATCCCAGCTACTCAGGGAGCTGAGGCAGGAGAATTGCTTGAACCCAGGAGGCAGAGGTTGTAGTGAGCCGAGATTGCACCACTGCACACCAGCCTGGGCAACGAAGTGAGACTCTGTCTCAAAAAAAAAAAAAAAAAAGGAAAAAAAAGGAGGGACTACAGCATATAGCAAAATAACATACAAAATATGTATACATCATTTATGTTATTGTTAAGGCTTTCTATCAACAGTAGGCTATTAGTAGTTAAGTTTCACGGGATTCATAATTACACAAAGATATTTGACTCCACTGTGGGTCAGTATTCCTAAGCCCTGTGGTTTTCAAAGGTCAACTGTAAATTCAAGTTGCTTTTTTAACCATTTTTGAAAGCTTTGACCAATGTCCAACATTGCAATGCTACAATAATTAGAACAAAATTTTTCTGCTAGAAATGAATTAATAACTGAAGTTCTGAATATGCAGCATGCTCTAATCCTGGTTTTAAAAATCCCTAATGGGCTTTGTAGCAATGCAATTTGGCAAAGTGAGTAAAATCCTCACATAATAGATAAAGGTAATTAGAGATGCAGAACAAATTCTTTTTAAATGCCCTGAATGCAATTCGGACACTTTACTTCCTTCTTCAGAAATGGGAAACTAGTGAAGGGAAGAAATGAGACAAATCAAGAAAAGAATATGGGAAAATCGAACTGTATCAACCACAAAGGGATTTGGGGCTTGAGAGTTGTTAGAATTCCTTCTAGCTATTTTGACTTTCCAAAATCTCCCAAGAAACTGGCCAACTTGCAATTAGTGAATCTCTTTATTTAGAAATAGCCTAACTTCAATTAGCTTGCCAAAATGGGGGAAGAAACCTAGAAGAAAACCAGCGGGTGAATGTTCATGGATAACGAATATTTTTTCCATGGCTGTACAATCTCTTCTCATAACTAACAGCAATCATTCCAAAGAAGTACACATTTGTCTTCAGTATATGAAGAATAAATTGGTTTTATATCAAAAATAATCACCTGGTTAGACTTCAAACTGAAACTTATCTTTACAAAAAATGTGGCACTCTGAGCTACATCTATAACTGGTTACTTGAAATTCAACTACAAAAGAGAGAAATGAAAGAATGGAACAGAATAAATGGAATTTAGAATCAAGCGGTATCAGAAGTGGAATGTCCTTAAAGGCACACAATCCACCACCCAAACCAATGACACCATAAAGAAACAGCCCCAAGAAGTTACTGAAGTGTCTGAAAGCCAATCATTATATACAGGGAAAGCTGAGTCCAGAATGAAATCTTCAGTTTTCCAGCTCAGTTTTTTTCTACTGCAAAATCAGGCCCGTTTTCCCACCATCAGCTCCATAGGCCCATGGATGTGCTGAATTACTAAGCAAGTGATGGTCAGACACCAAGGATGTCATGTGAACCTGATGGAGACATATCCTTTATGGTACTTAGAATAGTTTGCTGGTTGACTTATACAACAATAAATAAGTGATTTCAAATTCCTTGTCTCTTTTTATTGTTTTTTACTTAAATTCTATTTTGTCTGATGTAAGTTAATTATCCCAGCTCTCTATCAGTTCCCATTTGCATGGGTAAACTTTCTCCATCCCTTCTCTTTCAGTTTGTTTCCTTACTAGTAATATGAGTCTCTTGTAGGTACCATGTGGTTAGATCTTGTTGTTTTTGTTGTTGTTTTTTCCATTCAGCCACTCTATATCACACAATTTGCTCCCAGCAAGGCAATTCTGAGAAACTCAGTTTCCACTTGGTTTACTGGGCATTGGTCTGAGGTTTAATTCTAAAATCCCTCTCCCACAAGGATAGCCAAAAGTAGCTGATTTCTGGTTACCCTTCCAATTTCTCTGACACTCTTTCTAGTCACACCTCTTTTTTTTTTTTTTTTTGAGATGGAGTCTCGCTTTTGTCGCCCAGGCTGGAGTGCAATGACACGATCTCAGCTCACTGCAACCTCTACCTCCCAGGTTCAAGCGATTCTCCTGCCTCAGCCTCCTGAGTAGCTGGGATTACAGGCACGCACTACCACACCTGGCTAATTTTGTGTTTTTAGTAGAGATGGGGTTTCTCCACGTTGGTCAGGCTGGTATCCAACTCCTGACCTCAGGTGATCCGCCCGCCTTGGCCTCCCAAAATGCTGGGATTACAGGCATGAACCACCGCGCCTGGCCTCCACACTTCTTTTTTTAAAATTAATATTTAAACATTTATCTTAGTTACTTTGAAGTATATAATACATTATTATTGACTATAGATGCCTTGCTATGCAATAGATATTAAAACCTACTCTTCCTGTCTATTAGAAACTTGGTAACCTTTGATTAACAACTTCTCATTCCCTCCCTCCCCAACCCCCTACCCTTACCCCAGCCTCTGGTAACCACTGTTCTACTCTCTAATTCTATGAGTTCAAAGTACAATCATACAGTATTTGTCTTTCTGTTCCTAGCTTATTTCACTTAGCATAAGGTCCTCCAGATTCATCCATGTTGTCACAAGTGACAGCATTTTCCCCTTTTTTAAGGTCTAAGAGTAGTTTATTATGTATATACACCATCTTTTCTTTATCCATTCATCCACTGATGGATGCTTAGGTTGCTTCCATATCTCAGCTATTGTGAATAATGCTGCAATGAACATCCCTTCGACATTGATTTCAGTTCCTTTGAATATATACCCAGAAGTGGAATTACTGAGTCATACAATATTTCTATCTTTAGTTTTTTGAGGAACCTCCATAATATATACATTCCCGCCAATAATATACAGAAGTTCCTTTTTCTCCATATCCTCTCCCAACACTTGCCTTTCATCATTTTGATAAAGACATTCTAATGGGTATGAGGTGATACCCATTATATAATTTATTTTTATTTTTATTTTTCATTTTTTGTTTCAGAGCCAGAGCCTCACTATATTGCTCTGGCTGGTCTCAAATGATCCCTCCTGTCTCAGCCTTCCAAGTGGCTGAAATTACAGGCAGATGCCACCATGCCTGGCTCTTTTATTGTGGTTTCGATTTTTCTAATGATTTGCAATGCTGAGCATTTGTTCATATACCTATTGGCCATTTATATGTCTTCTTTTCAAAAATGACTGTTCAAGTACTTTGCCAACATATAATTTGAGTTGTTTTCTTGCTATTGAATTGTTTGAGTTCATTATATATTTTGGATGTTAACCTGTTATCACACGTATTATTTTCATTCTCTTAAATTTGTTAAGATTTGTTTTGTGGCCTAATGTGTGATCTATCTGGAGAGTGTTCCATATGCATTTGAGGAGAATGTGTATTTTACCATTGTTGGATGGAATGTTCTGTACATATTTATTAGGTCTATTTGATCTAAATTACAATTCAATTCCAGTGTTTCTTTTCCATCTAGATGATCTGTCCATTGTTTAAAGTGTGGTGTTCAGATTCCCCTGCTATTACAGTATTGCAATCTATCTGTCCCTTCAGATCATTTAATAATTTCTATATGTATTTCAGTGCTACAATGTTTAGTGCACATATATTTACAACTTTTATGTCTGCTTGATGAATTAACTCCTTTGTCATTATGTAACAAACTTCTTTGTCTCTTTTTATTGTTTTTTACTTAAACTATATTTTGTCTAATGTAAGTTGGTTATCATTGCTCCCTTTTAGTTTCCATTTGCATGGAATACCATTTTCCATCCCTTCTCTTTCAGTTCATGTATCATTACTGATAAGGTGAGGCTCTTGTAGGTAGGATGGGGTTAGATCTTATTTCTTTTTTAATCCATTCAGCCACTCTATATCATTTCATTGAAGAATTTACACCACATATATTCAAGGTAATTATTGATAGGTAAGAACCTGCTACTGTCTTTTTGTAATTTGTTTCCTGATTGTTTTTTAGGTCCCTTCTTTTTTTCTTCCTTTCCTGCTGTCTTCCTTTGTGGTTTGATGGTTTTCTGTGGTGATATGCTTTGAATTCTTTCTTCTTACATTTTGTGAAACTGCTATAGGTTTCTACTTTTGTGGTGGTCATGAGGCTTACATAAAATATCTCATCCTTATGAAAGGCTACTTTAAGCTGATAACAACTTGCCTTTACATGCATATAAAAACTACACTTTCACCCTCCCAACAACTTTTATGATATTGAAGTCCAAATTTACATTTGTTTTTGTAATTTCTATCTCAACAATTTATTCTAGCTATAGTTGTTTTCAATTTTTTTGTGTGTTAACCCTCCTAGTAGGAATACAATTGTTTTATATACCACCGTTACAGTATTAGAGAATTCAGAGTATGACCAGGCATTACTTATACCAAAGAGTTTTTTACATTCACATATCTTTTGTTATTAAAAGCCTTTTCTTTCAGCTTAAAGAAACCATTTAGTAATTCCTGTAAAGCAGGCCTAGTGGTGATAAACTCCCTTAGCTTTTGTTTGTCTGTTTTTATTTGCTCGAAAGTTTTTTTTTTGTCCCTCATTTATGAAGAACAGCTTTACCAGGTATAGTATTTTTGGTTGATAGTCTTTCTTTTCCCCAGTATTCTGAGTATACCATCCCACTCTCTCATGGCCTGTGGGATTTCTGTTGAGAAATAAGCTGAAAGATGTACTGGGGCTCCCTTGAATGTGATATGCTTATTTTCTGTAGCTACTTTCTGTATTCTTTATCTTAATTTTTAATAATTTGATTATTATGTGTATAGTAAACTCCTCTTTGGGTTCAATTTGATTGGCAACCTCTGAGCTTCCATGAGATTATCTGTCTCCAGATTTGGGAATTTTTCAGCCATTATTTTCTTAAATATGCTGTCTAAGCCTTTTGCACTCTCTCATCCTTCAGGAATTTGTATTATGCAAAGGTTAGTCCACTTACTGGTGTTCTATAATTTTCATAGGCCTTCTTCACTCTTTTATATTGTTGATTTTTACTGCTTTGATTCGATAATTTCAAATGTCCTATATTTGAACTCACTGATTCTTTCTGCTGCTTAAATCTGCTTTAAAGTATATTTATTTATTTATTTATTATTTAGTCATTTTTTTTGAGACAGGGTCTCACTCTGTCACCCAGTGAGTGCAAAGGTGCAATCATAGCTCACTGCAGCCTCAACCTCCAGGGCTCAAGCAATCCTCCAACCTCAGCCTCTGAATATCTGGGACTACAGGCACACATCATCATTCCTGACTGAATTTTGCAATTTTTCTTTTTTTTTTTTGGTAGAGGCAGGTTTTCTCCATATTGCTTAGTCTGGTCTTGAACTCCTGGACTCAAATGATTAGCCGCCTCAGCCCCCCAAAGTACTGGGATTTCAGGCACGTGCCACCATATCCAGTCTTCTTTGAAGCTTTCTATTGACTTTTAGGGTTCAGTTATTATATCCTTTATCACTATGACTTTCATTTGATTTTTTTATTTGTTTCTTCCATTTCTCTGTCAAACTTTTCATTTTGTTTATAAACTGTTTTCTAAACTTCACTTAATTCTCTATCTGTATTTTCTTGTAGTTCCCTGAACTTCTTTTAGAGGATTATTCTAAATTCTTTGTCAGTCATTTCATAGATCTCCATTTATTCTGGGTCTATTACACAAGCTTTATTGGTTTCTTTTGGTGGTGTCATGTTGCCTGATTTTTCATTATCTTTGTGTCCTTATGCCTGTGCATTTGAGGAGAAAGCCAAATTTTCCAGCCTTTGCAGGTGTTTTTTGGTGGTTATAGATCTTTACCATTTAGTCTAGCCTGAGATTCTGGAGGGGTGGCTGGCAGCCTTTGCTTGGTGTCAGGTTCTATAATTGGGCTGAGCTGCTTCCTGTGCTCTGAGATCAAATAGTATTTCTGGCTGTGCTCTGTGATCAGTGAAACCACTAGCTGAACTTTGCCATCAGGTGAGGCTGCTGATTGGACTCTGCAGCCATGACTGATTAGGTAGAGTTGCAAGTTGTCTTCCCTGGCTCTGTTGTTTGGAACCTGTAGTTGGGCACGGCTGTATGACAGGCTCCCATGCTGGGTGAGATTTTTGTGGTTGTTACTCAGCCACACAAGGTGGACAAGGCCAGAGGATATGCCCTATAGACATGTGTGGACTTGGGCTTACCTACTGGTCTAGGGTAGAGTAGAACGCCAAGGTTTGGTGGTGGCCAGATGCTCTTTCCATGGGTAATCACTGACCTGCAACTGCCTCCTGGTTTGGGGAAGACATAATGAGAGCATCAGGGCTGAGTTGGATCATCTCTTCACTGCTAGGCTTGGGCAGGACCAGATATTGTGTCCATGAGTAATCACTGACATGCAGTTGCTTCTCTCCCAATCTGGGGAAGATTTCATGTGAGCGCCAGAACTTAGTTGGATTACCTCTCCACTGCTAGGGTCAGGCAGGGCCAGATGCTCCCTCCATAATCATTGGCTTAGAAGCACCTGGCAAATGTGGGGAAGCTCGCTAGGAATTCAAGCCTAGAAGACTTGTGGGCGGTGTTTCCTACAGTATGACACTGTTGGCTAGTTTCTCTGGTGTGGCACTCACTCCCAAGTTCTTGAATATTTGGGTTGGTATTCTTGCCTGTGGATAGTTGCTAGTTGGATTTCTGTGAGGTGAGTAAAGTTAAACAAAAATTCCTATTCCACCATCTTGTTGGTGTCACTCTGGGAAAATGGTCACACTTTCTTAAAGTCATATATATTGATTGTATTTGACAGACAGAGTGAAATGCAGCCCTATTTGTGATGATAATGTCTTTTAACAGTTGTCAAGACTGATTTGACAGAAGGCTACAGTCAGTCCTAACTGCCAAACAGCTTTTTCATTTTTATATAAAACTTTGGGGCCTCATAAATCGTTACTATATTTTATTTTTCCCTAAAAAATGACATACTCACAAACTGTGACTTACGTTTCTAATGTTTCTGTTTCTATGTTATTTTTTAAGATTATACTGTCATATAAAATGTGCTAACTGTACAATCACAGGACTTTCACCTCACTCGACTACAAAGTCCAAAATGTAGCTAGATAGAAAACTGCTTATAATGTTGATAGCCTCATTGTCAGATTCATGCATAAGGGAATTAATCTGTGGATTCCCCTGGCTATCTCTTGGGGTAAGGCTGACTTCTTACCCCAAGAGACAGGTAAAACACCCTTCACTGGGGCTCACCCAGAAAGACCTCTTCAGTAAGAAGCTTAACCTGTATACAGCAGTGATTACAATTCTTTGCTCTGGATTAAGAAAAACAAATTGTTTTTTCTAGATCCCTGAATAAATATAATTGATCAATTAGCTTGATTTTTACCCTTTATCTCACATGATAGCAAATTAAATGCTACCCAGAAAGCTTACTTGGATTCATCTATCACCACCTTGAAGAAAATTTAACGTTATTCACATATTCATAGAACACTAGAAATTGAACTTATGCAAAGCTTCATCTGAAACCAATTACTACTTCTAAACAAAACTAGAGCCAAACATTCGGGACAACGGTTATCTTCCAAATACTACAGAATGTCCTAGCATGAATGGCATAATTCTCCTAGGGAGACCCAGGGAAAGGTGTTTGCCCGAAAATAAGTTAGCCTTGTCCTGCAGAGAATAGGTTGGAAAAATACGCAGGCCTTTTCCTCATCCATGAGTCTAACAAGGACACTACTGCACTGTCAAGCAGTTTCATATCTGCCTAGCTGCAATTTGGAGTTGATAGGCCACAGAGGTGAAAGTCTTATGATTATACAATTTGTGGTATTGTATAACAGCATAAACTCAAAAAGTCACCAAAACATGAGTGTTGCTATGTAGTGAGTGTATCATTTAGGTATTGGTATCTATCTCAAAGCCAACTAGAATGAGTCTATTCTAAAATCACCAGTGATAAAGGTATCAAATAGGAAAAAAAGCACCCCAGGTCAAAAGAGGCAAATTGATTAAAAGAACTTTACTATATGTTATAGAGCTCAGAGAGAGAAATATTTTGCTTCTAGAAAATAAACATTATAGGCCAGGTGCAGTGGCTCACGCCTATAATCCCAGCACTTTGGGAAGCTGAGGCAGGCGGGTCACGAGGTCAGGAAATCGAGACCATCCTGGCTAACATTGTGAAACCCCATCTCCACTAAAAATACAAAAAAATAAAAAATTAGCTGGGTGTGGTGGTGGGTGCCTGTAGTATCAGCTATCCAGGAGGCTGAGGCAGGAGAATGGCGTGAACCTGGGAGGCGGAGCTTATAGTGAGCTGAGGTCGTGCCACTGCACTGCAGCCTGGGCGACAGAGTGAGACTCCGTCAAAAAGAAAAGAAAAGAAAAGAAACATTATATTTTAAATTAATTTCCCCAGATTTTCCTACTGCTAAATCAGAAAATAGATGTGGTTTATATGCCAGTGATAATGGATAAAGATAACTGTGAAATTGTCAGGAGGTAATGTATCTCCAACTCATTGCATTAAGTCTGGGATTTAGATGGATAGTGCTAGGAGTAGTGAAAGAAGGTAATATTTTTGTCATTCTTGTGCAAATAACATCTGTCACCAAAAGTAGTGAATTTTTTAAGCATTCAATTAAAAGATGGCTTTTTAACCTCTATGTTTCAAAGAAATAAACACTTGCTATTAGTTAATAAAAGTTGCTTATGCCCCCTATGAGTCCATAATAATTTCATATGCATAATTTTTAAACTCAGTATGATTTTTTCAGAGAAAAGCATACACTAGCATAATATAGTTTAATATAGTCTCATGCAGTCTTTATCTTATTTTATTTATTCATAAAACTGGCCAAGACCAAGATTTTCTGTTGATATTCTCACTAAATCTTCCTGCAATTTAAAATGAATCCATTCCAAAAAAGACTTCCTAGAGAAATTACTCTTGTTAAAACTTTCAAGATTTATTTTGAAGACTGTAGGTAATTGAATGAATCTAGATATAAATAGATCTCAACCTTGGCTGTGCTAGAATTATGTGGGGAACTTTGAGAAATGCTGATGCCTGGGCCCCATTCTAAAACAATTTAGGAATCTCTGAAGTTAGGACGTGGGTATGAGCATTTTTTTTTTTTTATTCGGAGTCTCACTCTGTCACTAGGTTGGAGTGTAGTGGCGCAATCTCAGCTCACTGCAACCTCCACCTTCTGGGTTCAAGAGATTCTCCTGCCTCAGCCTCCCAAGTAGCTGGGATTACAGGTGTGTGCCACCATGCCCAGCTAATTTTTGTATTTTTTAGTATTTTTAGGAGAGACAGGGTTTTGTAATTTTGTATTTTTAGTAGACACAGGGTTTTCACCATGTTGGCCAAGATGATCTCGATCTCTTGATCTCGTGATCCGCCTGCCCTGGCCTCCCAAAGTGCTGGGATTACAGGTGTGAGCCACCATGCCTGGCCAGGTATGAGCATTTTTAAAGCTCCGCAGGTGATTCCAATCCACATTTGAGGACCTCTGCTAATTTGTAATGTGACATGACGTGCCTCACTAATAGGGTTCTTTAATGTTTCACCTTCCATCACAGATATAATTAGAGGAAGTGGCCTGCTAAATATTGATGCTGCAGGCACAGACTTGACCGTGAACAGTTAGAAATCAACTCTTGTATTTGTATGCTGGGGACAAAAGTGACCAGAAATATTCTGACAGAGAATGATCTATTAAAAAAAAGATTACATGAGCAAATTTTCTCAAATTAAAAATTGTTCTCCTTTGTACATGACATAGTTTTGCTTTAATTTTCTTTTTCTCTACCATTGACAACCTCCAGAATGAAAACTACCCCCAAATAGCTTCCCAAGAGCATTAAATTACCAAATAAATAATGTTTGTGTTGATCACATTTCAACCGGTATTATTACTTTTAGCCAGCCTGGGAGTTATAAAACATTGAAAGTGTTAGTCAAGGCTGAAAGTCTATTAAGAGAAACATATGCATGCTTCCATACAGTAAAAAAGCTGCCCAAAAAAAGAGAGAATCCTTTATAAAGTACTTCACTCTAAATTTTAAAAAGTAAAAAGCCCTAATCAGTATATTTAGCAAGTTCCATTAGTACTATTTGAAGTAGCTGACTTTCCGTTAGCTGATGAATATTATTATTCCAGGATGGGATAACAAGAAGGAAAGGAAAGAAGGATATGCTGCTTTGGGTTGCTTTTTTTTTTTTTGTCTTTTAATAACTTGTTAGTTAAGCAAAATAAGTTCAGTTTAGAAATCACACATTTTAAAGAACACGGGAAGCATTTATATCTCAGATATTATGGTGCCGAATCAAGTTTTATGAACTCTCTTTCTATATTAATTTTGGTATCATAAAGTTGTTTAGGCAAAGTCATATATGCGGGACAAAAATATAAAAATCCTACCCCCTTCCTGACAACTCCTTATGCCCTATTGAAGAGACTTCACATGTGACAATAATTTCTGATAATCCAATTATAGAAGTAATTACAAAAGGGTATTAAGAAGGGTCATGGGATTGTTTAGTATAAGTTTGGCTTATTGTTCCTTACAAGAGGAATGTAGGCTACCATATTAAATTTACATAATTTGCAACCAAATTTTATCAGTAAACAGGTACAAAGAAAGGAAAATGAGGACAAGAAATTGTTCAAAAGGACTGGCAGCCATCAAGCTGACAGCATGCTGTCCTCCTTCGATGCTATGGTGCCATCAACAGCAGTATTCAGAGAGTGGCTGCTGTTTCATGAGGCATTTTAAAAAGAGACAAACTATGACTAGGTTACTTATCATAAGAAAAACAATTTGTTAGACCAAATTCCTGCTTCTGCAAATTGCTGTGAGCCTTTGGAGATTTAGAACTGCTCTTTACAGCTGAATCCGGCTTAGCTGGCTATTAAGTGATGGAAAATAATACGATATTTTAGTGCCTAAAAGAATAACCGAGTACATGTGCAGGGATAGGTCATTAAATGTGGATATTCAAAAGGTGGTATAAAAGTAACCCATACACAGAAAATGTAAAAGCAAAAAGGATATCTAGATTTAGGCTACATCATAACTCTATTCACCAAACCCAACGAAGTAAGCAGGCTAGGAATGGAGAGAAGAATATCTGCTTAGAAGTATCAAAGGCATGGCAGGATTTATTTCCCATCGTAATGAAGATGCAAGAACAGTGCAATGGGGCTGTCCTAGACCTCAGCTATAAGGCATGCTCACAGGAGAACATTCTGCAGGAATCCATCACACAGCCCATAAAAGGCTCTTCAGGGAAGGTAGCATAGCAATGCTAACCTTTCAAAAAGAAGAGGGCTGGGCGTGGTGGTCCATGCCTGCAGTCCCAGCTACTCAAGAGGCTGAGGCAGGAGAATCGCTTGAACCCGGGAGGCGGAGGTTGCAGTGAGCCAAGACAGCGCCACTGCACTCCAGCCTGGGCGACAGAGCGAGACTCCATCTCAAAAAAAGAAGAGGAGTTTGGCAAAAAAAAAAAAAGAAAAAAAAAGTATTAAAAGAGAAAGAGCTGTAATTACTCATTTGGTGCAAAGACCACTTCCACTCAGTAACATAGGTATAGCTCTTTGATAAATGGTGCCCCTTGTATAGCCGACTTAGTATGCAGACAGTCATCAAAATGTCTCTCTTTCTTTGAACCAGGGCAGGAGACGGCAAAGAGAAAATGTAGCATTGTCAGTAAAAAGAGGTGAATTTTCATCAGGGCAAAGAGTTAGAAGATTTGAAAAAAGGGCTTCAGTATAGAGAGGAGTTTGCCCACGGGGAGACGGATACACAGAAATGTGATCACAGAACCGAGATCTGAGGCACAGCGAAGGCCTGGTGAGGTGCTGAAGAGCTGAGTGAGTTCCGGCAACGGGAACAGAAAAAGAAGGCTTTGTGCCCAGAGTAACGGGGAAAAGGCATCAAGCTGAGAGATGTAATGAGTTGGGAGACAGGCACACATATGTTTGAAATAAATATCATTTTAGAACTCTATTTTTGTTAGGCAATGGGAAAGACTGAGAAAATTTGGGAATGGGAGAGACATCATTAGAATTGAGCATTAGAAAGATTAATCTGGCAACTGAAGATGGAATGAATCTATGGGGAAGGTAACCAGTGATAGAGAAGTCCACTGAAATACACTCTTTCAGGCAAGAGAAAACTAAGGCTAAACTGGTGGCAATAGAAATGAAAAGAGGCAGCAGTAGTAAACTAGACTGTAAATACATTTAAAGATACAATTTGTTTTAAGAGGTATCAGAGTGTTGCAAATATTGCCAAGACTATATGAACTCTATTTCAGTTGACAGTGGGTTAAGAGAATCACCAAAGAGAGGATGTGTTCCCTTTCATTATTAACGACCCCACCAACAATAACAACTACAACACTCACACAAATGCACAAGCACAACAATACCCACACAGAATCTCACAATCAATTCCAATGCAGAAATAAATATTTGTAAACTTAACTCTGGATCTAATGCATAACGTGAGACACAATGGACTCTCTCACTAAATATCAAAGGATTAAATACCACGATCTCACTACTGTCTTCTCCAAAAGACCCTTCATCACAGGTATTTTGCAGAGTAAGTGGAGACATTACAGATCCACCTCAATAAAGAAAAGGTAGCACATGCCTGTAATCCCAGCAATTTGGGAGGCCAAGGTAGGCAGATCACTTGAGTTCAGGAGTTCAAGACCAGCCAGACCAACAAGGTAAAACCCCAACTCTACTAAAAATATAAAAATTAGTGAGGTGTGGTGGTGGGCACCTGTAATCCCAGCTATTTGGGAGGCTGAGGCAGGAGAATTGTTTGAACCTAGGAGGCGGAGGTCTCAGTGAGCCAAGGTCATGCCATTGCATTCCAGCCTATGTGACAAAGTGAGACTCTGTCTCAAAAAAAAGAAAGAAAGAAAGAAAGTAAAGGTAGTTCTTTATAATGTTCATATGCTTGGACCTTTAACTGCATGATTGATGAGAGTGTGTTCTATTTCCACCATAAGAGTAGCCAGAATTCTGAAGTTTTCTTGATTATACAAGGCCAAGTCTATAGATTCAATTTTCTACTTTGGTTCCAATTTGCTCTAGCTAATTGGAAGCTGGGGATCTTTTGCCAACGGAAGAGCCAACAGCAACTGCAGTCTGAGCCTCTCTCTACCTCAATGTCTTTCTGAAGCAAAGCAAGTTCATTGCCTATCTGTTCATCTTCAGAGCATTATACATATGTGGAGGTAATCAGGTTAAAGGTAGAAGGAAAGAGTCACCAACGTGACTTGAGGTTTATGGGAGTAATAGACCTGGTTATTAACCAGCCATGGAAAATGATTCCACCACATTTTACATTTGGAATCTGTGTTCATTAATCACCATGGTGACCTACAACAAAAATACAATGCTGACAAGTTTTCTCTTCATTGCAAAGGGTCAGTCCACTTGGGGACAATTTGCCACCCACATGGAATTTATATTATTTTTACATTCTCTGGATATTGTAAAAGTTCATCACTGTATCTCAGAAACAGCTGGTTCCTATTCCCAATGTCATCTCTCCTCACTATAAATACAAACTCACCAAGGTACAGGTGGACAACTGAGTGAAGTACCAAATATTCCTTTTGAGTTTGTTTTATTTACCTTTTTCTTTCAGAAACACCGAAGGAAGGATGCCTTAACTCAACTCTGTAAGCATCAGACACTATTTACATAAGAACTGAGTAGACAGGCATTGAGTGTACACAGCATCATTAGAATTCAGCATACTCCGTGGCCTCCTCTGAGTAGCTCAGCAGGATGAGAGTTTCTGCTGGAGTTCGACAGAGCCTCCTAGGCTGGCGGTCATAGCAGGGAGCCTGGGACAGGGCAGAAATTGTATTTCTTCAAGGCTATAAATCCTGGCTCTTTCTTAGGGTAGATAATCACTCATTACTGGTGACAATAACTGGCACCCACCATACTAAACAAAACTTAACATTTAGTGGTGGATTATTTTTTAAAGATATCTGATAGCCAGGGGCAGAGAGGTGGGAAAATGAGGAGGTGTTCATCAAAGGTTACCAAGCTTTGTAAGATGAATATAGGATGAATAAGTGTAGAGATTTAAGGCACAGCATGATGACTATAGTTAATAATGCTGTACTGGGTTCTGGAAATTCACTAAGAGAGTAGATTTCAGGTGCTGTCATCACCAGAAAAACAAGGTTACTATGTGAGGAGATGAATATGTTAATTTGTTTGACTGCAATACTCTTCCACCATGTATACTTACATCAAAACATGTGTATACCATATACATATATAATTTTTATTTTAAAAATAATAAATAATAAATAAATTTACATCCCTAGCAACAACAGAAAAATGAAATTTGGTTCTCTAGGTAATGTACAGCTGCAAACACAATTATTTCCATCCCCCAATTCAAATATCCACTGAAATGACCAACTATTTTTTTAATAAGGAATAATCTGCTTATATTTTTCACAACAAAAAGAACAAGGATTTTTTTGCTAGATATAAAGCAGATGGAGTCAGACTGAGGAAAACCACCCTAATGAAGACATTTTAAATGTGAAGAAAGCGTGCACCTGGGAAGGTTGTGGAAGTGATCCCAGCTCACTACTGGCCATTAGGTAACAGTGTCAGGGCTGCTGATGAGTGTGGCCAGAGGGCAGCCGGAAGCACACGTGACTTTCCCAGTGCATCTGGGCGGCACAGCAGGAGTTGGAGGGCACTGTGAGCAGGGACCAGACATCAGAACTCAGTGCTAGATGAAGACTGGCTTTCACCAGGAATGAAGGATGGAGCCCAGTCCTGGCTGGCTGTTAAATCAGAAGCCCCAGACCAGGAAAGGAAGGGGGAGGCTAACTAACCCCTGCACACTAACTATAGAAAGAAACAGGCAACAAATAGGTCTGGCAGCCTCGGGTACTGAGTTTGCTTCTGGCCACCCCTGCCCAAGCTGCTGACTCTCAAATTTTCTCTCCTCCCTTCATTAAAGCCTGAATGATTTGAAGAACATTCAATACCATCTCTGAAAGAACCCACTGTAATTGCTACTCTTTGAAAAGCAAAGGTATTCCCCCATACATAAGCAAAATTTTGAAGAAGCAAAGTGACCATCTTCCCAAGAAAGACAACAAGAGATGGAAGTACTTATTTTAAATTTATTATTTTAGCAGAACTCAATAGCACACTGAATCTCTGACATGAGAGTAGAAGGTCATGAAAAGAAACAGTCAAGAGCAGGAAAAATAGAAAGCCCAGCTCACATAATGAGAGACAACAATGAGGGCCGTGAGCGGCAGTCAGGATTCTGGAAAAAAATCAAATCAGTAAAGTAAAAGCTTGAGAAAAGTCACCCAAGACTCAGGGGTAAGAATAAAGAGATGAAGATTAAAAAAGAAAAGCTAAATGACAATGAAGGCAGGTACAGGACATTCAATATGCATTATAGGAGCACCAATCAGACAACAGAGAGGACACAGAAAAAGAATTATCAAAGAAATGTAATCAAAAACTCTCCACAATTGAGAAAATGCTCCAAAAATGCACAATCCATGTACTAGCCTTTAAGAAACTGCCCTAAGGATATATTCCTGCCAGCAGACACAGCAATAGTTTCAATGCTAATTTATTAATTTACAGCAATAGATAACTGTCCCAAGCACAGTTGTTCCCAGATCAAACTGGGGGTTGGGCTGCTATTTCTCATGTCCCAATAATGAGATGCAGATGAACTGGAGAGGAAAAGAGTTTTTATTTCTGTAACCGGTTACGGGGGAAGGCCTGGAAATTATCGCCAGACCAACTCAAAATTACAAAGTTTTCCAGAGCTTATATAACTTCTAAGCTATATGTCTATGTGTAAGTGTGCATTCATCTAAAGACATTAGTGATTAACTTCTTTTAATCTATAAGTTCTGAGTCCTGAAGACCTTCTTCTGGAGCCTCAGTAAGTTTACTTAATCCAAATGGGTCCAGGTGCTAGGGTGATAAACCTTATTTTGTCTCCTGCTAAATCATAAAGGTTTGATTTAGTAAACCTCCAAGTAAACTTGTTTAATCATGCCTTAAGGTTCAGGATTGGACTAGGCAAAACTCTGTGGGCTTTTGTTACATTACAGCCTCTGTATAAGAGCACTGGCTTTTAATATTTCACCTAACCACTCAGTCAGTACTGAAACAGTTGCTATGGAGGCTAGTGAGACCTGGTCTGCCACACTATATCATGCAAAAATTCCCCTGATTTCTTCTTGCATACAGACCTACATGGGAGATTATATCATAACTCAGAAAATTGCTTAGTGAATGTGGAATCAAAACAAGTGAAAAGAGATGGACAAATCAAAACTTTAATGATATCAGCTTAAGGTAGCTACATGCAACTATCTCAAAATATGTACAGCCATGCTGATGACTTGAAAGTGCCTGAAGTACACTGACAAATGCTCAGCCTATGTTGGAAAGTGCTGGCACCGATCACATGGGACTCCTTGACATCCGTTGTCTACGCATCTGAGTCTGACACTCTGATGGGTTATTTATTAGCTGTGCTAATTCAACCAATTAACTTCCAGTCAACTCTTGCTGACCCAGAAGCAATTCTGATGTTAGGGGGGAGAAAAAAAACAACTTCCACATATATAAACTTTGATCTATTATATGTCAATATTCAATTTAACACTCAGAGGGCAAGCTTACTGCTGTTATCATGTTATTATGGGACAAATCAGTGTAAACCTCTTTACTGACAATTTATTCTGAGGATTTCAAAAATTTATTAAGAAGAGTGATTAAATAGATGTACACTGAAATCTTCACAACCTGCCAATAAAAAAACACGTTGTATCTTCAATTTCCATGAATCATTAACAAAAAATTGATCCTATATTAAACCACAAGGAAATCTTCTATCTCTACCCACCCCATCTTCCAAACAATGGACTCAGTACATGGACATATCCCATTTATCTGGCCATACATCCCTAATCCCTTAGAAATGTTAAACTATTTTGTTTCCAGAAGGTCTTGGTGTGATGAGAAAAAAAATGTAATTATAAATAAAAACTACTTACAATATAGGTGTATAAAAGTTAAGGCACACAAACAAAACTGAAGTTAAAGGCAAATCAATGGCACTTTACATATGTTACTTCAAGCCCCAGGAGATAAACTTGACTATGCCCATTTTACAGATGAGGAAACTGCCACAGTGATTTCCTCCAGGTCACACAGAGAGTAAATGGTGAAGACAAGATTAGATTCTACGTATGCCAGATGGCAAGCCATGCTTGTCAAAATACAACCGGGCTTCCACAAATAATGAAAACAATTAAAATAAGCATAACTTCATGGAGCTGAAATGTGCACAAACAAAACAAAAATAACTAAGAAAATGAATAAAAGATTTCACCGATATTGCCCCAGAGAAAAGAAAACCAGGTCATGTTCTTCTGTATGAAAGACACATTTTGCCACATTGACTTGTCACAATGATACTGATTTATATTTATGGAATTTTTTTTCAACACTCTTTACCTGACATTAGGACACATTAATTTATTTATAACAGATGGTGATATCTGTTATGAAATTTTGATTCAAAATATTAGATTTCTTCTACCCAAGGTCTTTGGGAGGAAGGGTAGTAGGAAAGATAGGAAATAGGTGGGAGTGAAATGTGGTCAAAATAGGTAGCACAAAAGGAGGGAGCAAGTGAAAGGGGAAGAGTGCAGCTTTGTCTTCTTATTTCATTATGTTTTCATAAATATATATATATATAAAAATATATATTTTGTTGTTGTTTTGTTTTCTTTTTTTGAGACGTTGTCTTGCTCTGTCACCCAGGCCAGAGTGCAGTGGTGCGATCTTGGCTCACTACAACCTCCACCTCCCAGGTTCAAGCAATTCTCCTGCCTCAGCCTCCTGAGTAGCTGGGATTACAGGCACCTGCCACTACGCCCAGCCAATTTTTTGTATTTTTAGGAGAGACGGGGTTTCACCATGTTGGCCAGGCTGGTCTCAAACTCCCAACCTCAGGTGATCCACCTGCCTTGGCTTCCCAAAGAAAAATATATTTTTTAGAATTGATAAAATTTTTAAATATTTTATGCATATATTAAATCATTTTGCCAACAAAAATGTTCTTGGGTTGTGGTTGCCTATGATTCAAATACATTTTCAATATTTCAAATACAAACACAAACTTTTACATCATAAAGCTGCAGGTCAGCCCACCTGTGTTAGGAGACAAATAAAATGATGAATTGATGTTGTTATCCAAGTCTGCCACCAAAGGACAAAACGTGGCATATCACACAGCAATGAGATTTGGAGGTTCTCTTCAGGCTGATATAAACGCTTGTCATCAATCCACAGGCCGTCGTCTTCTAGGCTGGACACATGTGCACACTCACAACCACACTCACAGGCCACACACCAGAGGTGCTGAACTTCATCCAATATCTGCTGGATAAACAGGTTACAAATACAATCTGGCTAGACAATTATTTTCTCTCCCTTTTGAGGCAGTTTAGTCTCTTAGAACACGAGTGCCGCTATGCTGAACTTAAGCAATGAGTTCTTAAGACAAATCCTTCTCTAGAGATTTGCTAAATCATCTGAAGAAACCATTTCACTCTCGGCTTTTCACCCTGGCAGTCCTTTTGCACTGTGGTGTCTTTAAAAACTCGCCTTTACACCATAGTAGGAGGAACTTATATATTCTGATGACTAAGAAAAGATTTTACTCTCTAAATGCCACCTGGTACCAGCAAGCTCTTTTGAACTTTACAAAGACAAGATTTGAGATTCTTAAAGGTTAAAATGAGCTCCATTCAGACCATAATTATGCTCAGTCAGTTGAGGTAGACAAATGAATCCTCATTACTGAGAAAGTTTAAAAAAAAAAAACCACGATAAATTGACATTAATATAAAAACTCCATAAAAGGCATAAAAATGATACTGGGAAGCCTATGAGAAAATGAAATGCTTTGGGTTGTTAAGCCTGTATTTCTCCCAGGGTTATAAATAAAATTTATGAAGGAGGATGTTAAATTTATAGTTAACAAACTTTTCCAGGCTTTGTGGACACTTAGTAAGAGTTTTCTGACCCAAGCTTACTGGAAAAGCAACCGATTTTATGCAAGCCAAAAAACACCCATCGGTCAAGTGGCAAGAATTTTCAAATATTACCATCCTAGAGTGGTTATGATATGAGACTAAAACACTGAAATTAAAATGAGTATCTTTTTCCTGAGTTTCAGCTATTAATTTTCCCTAATTTCCTTGGGGAAAAATACTTCTGAAATCCACCTTTTGGGGAGCTTTCTAAACATAAAGAAAACTCTTTAACACTGTGTTTCCCACCACAATTCAGATTGACTTACACAGAGGGAAGTTTTTATTCCTTAAGTCTGAAAGAGGCCTTGCTGTAAGCTTTTTCATCCTAATAATATCCGCTGTGGCAGTTCAAAATGAAAAGTTGGGGCAAGGACCTTCAGTACTTAAATTACGCCTACTGACTCCATCTTGAAACACCTATCTATTTCTTCACAGTTATTTATGTGTGTGTTAACATGTTGTGTAGCAACAGAACGATAAGATACATGCATTACCAAACTCTTATAATCGTTTTAATTGACTCTAGTTGATTAATTCGGGAAGTGCTGTTTTATTTGGTGTTGTGTCTGGGGACTCCAAAAACTTGTATCTGAAAAGATTATTGAGATACTCCATATTTAGCCAAATGAATGAATGCTGTCAGTTAAGTCCAGATTCCGTCTTTAAGACAAAAGCACTCATTCTCCTGCCTACTGGGAGTATTGGTGGCTGACAACTTTCAGTTGTCCTCCCCATTCATGAGCCCTCCTCACCCACAATTTGCTTAGAGCAATTGCTTAGACCAGAGTTCCTCAAATTATATCAGTCTTTGGAGCCTCTCCTGGCATTCCTTAAATTAAAAGTGATACCTAATGTACTGTTTAATAAGTAGCTCAAACAGCTTAATAAGTATTCAAGTCCCACTAGGCACTACACAACTTTTCAAACTCTGGAAGACTGGACATCACCACCCTTGTTTTCTATTTTACTTTGAGTTTCACATGTTACTTGCTTTTTAATCACAGTGACTACTGAAAACCTGGTTTTGGAAGGAAAACTGCAATCTTATGTAGAAGTGGCGAACTGTTTTGAGCTAGTAGCTCCTACTGAGTCCTACAGCACCCCTGAGTCCACTAAGGAGCACTGCGGCAGCTGGTGCACAGTGTAGAAAGCAGTCCTGGGCTGTAAAGGGTTGGCTCACTCTAAGTCACCCTCTCCCCAGGGGCAGGCCATGTTAGGTGACATTGGGGATGAAAGCAGGGCAGAGCAGTGTTCAAGTCCCGGGCACTTGCCTGAGTTTGGAACACTCTAAAGAGCCACTGTAGTTCCAGAGCTCCCCGTGGAATCCACTGTGGCCTCTGCTGCAAGGATATTGACCTTGAAGTTCTCCCTCTACTAGCCCTGAGTCTTCTCTTCCCCTCAGAGCTGATGCCCAGGGTGTGACCAGTGAACTTCCCGCAAGCTGGTCTGCACTCAGAGCCCACATCCCAGGGGAACCCAACCAAGGACGGTCATTTAAAACGGAAAATTCTAAAAAAGGAAGAAATCATTACATTCTCCAGCTAGTCAACTGAAAATATACTTCAAGTAATAGTTACTTTTTAAACATCATTTTTCAGTTTTGTTTGGGGCTCCATAAACACTCAGCAATTCAACCTCATGTTTTATTTTTTTTCTTTTCATGAAAATCCCACAGTTTCAAAAACAGCCTAGCATTAATTCCATTCCACAGCTGCTGTGTTCTCCCGGAGTTTTATTTTAGTGGTGGGTAGAATGACCATATGTTACACCTAACCAAGGCTCTACAGCACGTGCAGCTAAAAAGAGCTCCCATCCATACTGTGTTTGCCATGATATTCTTATCTACAGCGGTGACATGAAGGCTTCTCAAAAGATAACCTCAGGGCTGCAATTTATTTCAAACATATCTACTCAAATGGAAGCTCCATGAGGGGAAAAACTTTGTCTGTCTTATCCCCTGCCTATAGCAACGGCCAGCAAATTATAGGCACTTATACAGATAGAGTGCCTATGTAAATATATGTATACATGTATACATGTATAAATATATATGTATACATGTATACATGTATAAATATATATGTATACATGTATACATGTATACATATATATGTATACCTGTATAAATATAGGTATACATATGGTATACATAATATATGTTACATGTAATATAATATATAATACATGTATAATATAAATATATATGTATGCCTGTATAAATATAGGTATACATATGTATACATATATAAAATATATACCTGTATACATATATGTATACATATGTAGACCTAAATATAGGTACCTGTATAAATATAGGTATACCTACACACATATGTGTGTATACATATACATACACACACATATGTGTGTGTATACATATACATACACACGTGCATGTGTGTACATATACATACACACGTGCACGTGTGTATGCATATACATACACACATGCACGTGTGTATGCATATACATACACACGTGCATGTGTGTATACATATACATACACACATATATGTATACATATGTATACCTATACATATAGGTATACCTATATTTATACAGGTATACTTTTTTAGATTTATATTTAAATATATTTTAATTTATATATACAAATATATTTGTTGAATGACAAAAATCTCCAAAATCAAATTTTTTGCATTCCTGTTAAGGATGCTTATTTTCCTGCAATGTAGCCATAGGACAGAATTCATTAATCTCTCTTAAAATATCAGTTATGATTACTGTGACATGTATATATTTTAAAAATGTAGCTCACCCGAATAGATGTGCTCTGCTGATGAGAAATGGCAGGAGACCTACCCCAGTAACATAGTAATATATCCATAATATATATATATATACCATAGGGGCACATTTCAATGTTAAAAGTTAAAGAAATAAATAGTGATTTTTTTTTTATTGCAGCCACAAGTACAGTGACATAAGTTGGCAACTGGAAGAAATGACTGCCTATAAATTTACTGTATGTTATGAGCCACTGTTTTAAACGGCCATGATGCAGGTATCTGCTAGACACTTGTACAAAGCCAAAAGGTTCATAAAAATATAAATGAGCAGTGATGCTGTGTCTTAGATTTTATCATTTAAGATCTGACAGGACACAAGATTTTAGTTTTAATTTGAAGAATATACTAAACTGCACCAAACATGACTATAACGATAATGACACATACAGTCTATCAATTTGTCATAATCACTAATTAAGAAAGCCTATTGTATTATCATTATTGTTTATTAAGACTATTCAAAAGAAAAAGGCAGAAGCTGGGTAACTAGGGTTAAAAATTAACTCAATATAATCAGAGTCAGAAAATGGTTTCTCATAAAGCTCGTCTCCTGAGACAATCGGGAGAGAATGATTCCACTGAAAAGTAGATGGACATTGGTTGAATTAAATCAGCTACATGAGTGTAGTAGGTGCAGCAATATCTTGCACCAAACTCTACAAACAGCTATAACCACATGCAATCTTCTATCGAAAGCCCAAGAAATCGACTGCTTACCACATAATGAGTTTACCTGGCCACACTCAAGCATCCACTAGGTGACCGTTTAAAAATGAAACACAAACAGTACAGGAGGAAAATTGGGAGAATTTCTTATGGCTCGACACTGAGCTAAATTTCATGGCTGGTGGAAAGAAAAGTTCATCTCTCTGGTTGCCTCAGTTTCATTTCTTGTCCTTCCCTCTCAATTATCTTCTGATATACACAAGAGATACATTCAAAAGGAAGCAGTAGAATAAATACCTTCTCCCATCCTACTCCAAACAGTAAAACCCTACTCTGTGCCACTAAAGATCTCTCATACTTTAGTGGCTGGGGGATGCCATCAAAGCTGTACTGAACACAGGATTTTATGTAGCAGAATGGATATGGACATGCCCTTCAGAGTCACAGACCTGAGTTTGAATCTCCACACCCATCTGTGTGACCTTGGACTCACTGCTTAATCCCTGTAAACATAGTCTCCTAAAGGACCTGCTTCACTGGGTCATTGTTCAGATGAAATGAAATAGACTACTAAAGTACTGATGACAGCATCTCATACCCAAACCGGCGATGGGAGGCTGAATATCAGCACAGCAGTAGGAGAAACTGGAAGAGAATATGTCTGGCATTGTGCCAAACAGAAGAAATTTTTTTTAAATAAGTTGAACCCAATATGGTTAATGGCCTTTGCAAGCTTATGTATTACTGGGAAAGATAAACGAGAAAACTTAAAAAAACTAATCAACAAATACAGGAAAACATTGACACTATCATAAAGCAAGTGGAAATGGTGACCGTGGGAGCTGCGAATTCTGCAGATGTAAGTCAAGGAGGGCAGCATGAAGAAGCGAGCATTTGAACTGGATCTCAAAGAATGAGTAAGCAAGACAGGTAAGACTAGAAAGGCTAATATAAGAAGAGGAGAGTGCACACCCCAGACAGAGAGACAGGAAGGAAGATGGGTGTTCAGGGCCACCTGGGGTCTGACTAGAGCACGCTTGGCAAATGGGATGACTGTGGACTAGGGCTAGGCTGAGAATAGTCCAGATATCATTTTTTGTTTTGTTTTGTCATTTTTATTGGTACATAATAAATGTACCAATTTTCAGGTTACATGTGATAATTTACTACATTCATATAATTTGTAAAGATCAAATCAGTGTAACTGGGATATCCATCACCTTAAATATGTGTTTTCTTTATGCCAGAAACATTTAAATATTCTCTTCTAGTTATTTTGTAATAGGCAATAGATTAATGTAAACTATGGTTACCCACCCACATACTGTTTCATGAATTCGTGGTTCATCCTCCAGGTTAGTGATAGCCAAACTTTGGTCACTGAATAATTTGTTCAGTTATAATTTTTATTGGATCCCCAATAAATGTAGATTTATTTAGAAAATACATACAGTAATGTCTTCTTATCTATGTAGGGACCCTGCATAAGATACTTCTTTCTCTGACTGTATTCCTCATCCTTAAGGCAGAGATAAACAGTATCATTTTCATAGGGGTGTTATGAGCATTAAAAGAGTTAATAAGCAATATATTTAGAACAGTGCCCAGAGTCTAATAAGTTCTAAATAAGTCATCTATTATTATTATATTGTAAAATATATCCCAAACAGAAAATTTTAAGTAATGACAAAATATGAAGTAAATATTTTTTAAATGTGTGACATTATTAAAATAGGGCACAAAAGTTTTGAGATCACAGAAACATTAGTTATTAATAACCCTAGCCAGAGAAATGTGATTTAATATGCAATAGTACTTTTGACTATTTTGGTTTACTTGGTGATAAAGGAGTTCAAGGCTCTGTTTTTAAATTATGTTTATCACTATAGTACTAGGTTGTAATGGCTTTTAGAGTGGAAAAAGACATTGTAAGGAATCTATGAGACCAAAAGAACTACATTTCTGGGTGCACTTATTAAGTAATTTAATCATTGTTCAGTTCCATCCACGTTTTTCAGGTTTTTTTGTTAGTTTCATTTAATAAATTTTCATCTTCACTGATGTCACTAAGTTGTTCTAAAAAAGAATCAGAAGATACTGAAATTTATATTTTTAACAAACAGTTGGAAAACCATTGAAAATTTTGTTATTTGGAAAACATTAAAGTACATTTATAATATTATGTTTCTAAGTTTTCTAAGGGAATATGGGAATTTATAGGAAACAAAGAGTATTTGGAACAAAAAAATCATAAATTAATGCACTCACTTCCAAACTCTAACTTTTAAATATTCTCAACATTCTATAAGTTTATTTTTTAGAATCATTTATGTTTTCATTCATTTTTATGATGATGAGAAACATCAGATGTAGTTTTGTCTTTCTTTTTTCAAAATCTTTGCAAGTTAGAAATCTAGTGATACTCACTTGCCACCACAGAAAAGGTCAGCAAACCTGGAACAATTTTCCTTTCTGAAAAAAAAATACGTATTCATTTTGATGTTTGACAGTTCTTTAGGTTCTTTTGCCTAGGACAGCCAGAGAACATCTATGCGGTTCAAAAAATATTCATGGTCAGGCCGGGTGCAGTGGCTCATGCCTGTAATCCCAGCACTTTGGGAGGCCAAGGCAGGCAGATTACAAGGTCAGGAGTTCAAGACCAGCCTGGCCAACATGGTGAAACCCCGTCTCTACTGAAAATACAAAAATTAGCTGGGCATGGTGGTGGGTGCCTGTAATCCCAGCTACTTGGGAGCCTGAGTCAGGAAAATCACTTGAATCCGGGAGGCGGAGGTTGCAGTGAGCCGAGATCGCACCATTGCACCCCAGCCTGGGTGACAGAGTGAGACTCCATCTCAAAACAATAACAACAACAACAAATATTCATGGTCACTTCCCAACTCAGCACAAAATATTGTCAAGATTCTAGACTAATTTAACAGTCTTGTTCTTTTATGAAATTAGCTATATCAATACAACATGCTATTCTTTGTGCCTATGTGGTTGAAGATTTTTAATGTCTAAAGAGCTCAATCATATATGATGGAGAAATAGATAAACTTCATGTAGGGTGGTTTCTTATTAAACTTACCCTGGAAAAATTCTTTTTCCGCCATCAAAATGACTACTCAATCAGTGATTACACTTGCAAAATTTATTTATTGCTTACAGTGGGTATATATCTCTGGGTTAACTTTCCCTTAACGGCTCATCAAAAAAAAAAAAAAAAAATCAGTCCCTGTGGCAGTGATATATGGTCCCAAAAATGTTGACATTATTTCCAACTAGAGGTGAGTTCTATGTCTCCAACCTTTCAATCTGGTCGCCTCATGATAGCTTCCATCTATATAGCATGGCAGAAGTGACTTCCAAGACTGCATCTTAAAATTCTGTCTTCTGTCTACTTGTCTTGGAATAGGCATTCTCCAGAGGCTCCATTTTGGGATGCTTCCTCCCAGCTGCCATGCCATGAAAAGCTAAACTATACAAAAAGGCCATGTGTAGGTGCTCCATTAACCATCCCAGCTGAGCCCAGCCTTCACCAAGGTATTAGATATATGAGTGAAGAAACTTGCATTTGATTCCAGCCCCAACCATTCTGGTCACTTCCAGGCATTCAATTCTTCCCTACTGAGGCCCCAGAGTTCATGGAGCGGAGACAAGCCATCCCCATTGCACTCTGCTGAATTCCTGACCAGTGGGATCCAAGAGCATAATAAAATGGATGTCTTATGCCACTAAATTTGGGGTGGTTTCCCATACAATAGTTACTGGAATAGACCTTTATGTACTTCACAACTGAAATATAATCTAACAAACCACATAAGCTCTGAGATGTTGGAACATCTGCACTTTAACCTAACCATTTGGCAAACCTCCCATGACTAGTTTGTTCTAATACCTGTTCCTTCAAATCTTCAACAGTATTTACTATATATGGTTCAACAGTATTTACTATATATGGTCCAACAGTATTTGTCAGCAAAGGAATACATTTCAATTGAATGCTATAATGTTGGCTACATATTATTTCAGGCACCTTTACAAAGCAAAGAGAAACACACTTTTCTTCCAGTGGTATGTGGATAATTATCTTTTGTTTTAAAGAAACCTCGAATAAGCTCCCAAACATTTATCATCAAATTTAGTGAAAGGTGGTCAACTTACTAAATTGAAAGATGATTTTAAAGATTTTGAAGAAAAAAATAAGAGGTTTGCCCTAATGTTCTGGAGGCTTATTTTTACTATTGAAAAGTTAAACACATACAGTCAGAAATATGTAATATACTATCATGTACCCATCACCTTACTTCAACAATTATCAATACATAGCCCATCTGTTCTCATTTATATCTCTACCCTCTCTCCCTAACATTTCTAACACATTTTGATGCTAATCCCAGATATATTATTATTATTATTATTATTATTATTATTATTATTATGAGACGAGTCTCGCTCTGTCGCTCAGGCTGGAATGCA
The DNA here is from genome assembly GCF_000001405.40 of Homo sapiens. Taxonomy (NCBI): domain Eukaryota; kingdom Metazoa; phylum Chordata; class Mammalia; order Primates; family Hominidae; genus Homo; species Homo sapiens. The sequence continues at coordinate 35,265,831 of NC_000008.11, read as the reverse complement.
GTGGCGCGATCTTGGCTCACTGCAAGCTCTGCCTCCTGGGTTCACGCCATTCTCCTGCCTCAGCCTCTGGAGTAGCTGGGACTACAGGCGCCTGCCACCATGCCCGGCTAATTTTTTGTATTTTTAGTAGAGAAGAGGTTTCACCATGTTAGCTAGGACGGTCTCGATCTCCTGACCTGGTGATCCGCCCACATCGGCCTCCCAAAGTGCTGGGATTACAGGCCTGAGCCACTGCGCCCAGCCATCATATTATTTTTATAAGCATTTCTATATGTGTCTCTAATGCAAGGGTCAGCAAACTATAGCCTGCAGGTCAAATCCAGCCTGCTTCCTTCCTGCTTTTATAAATAAAGTTTTATTGGAACCTAGTGACAGTCATTCATTAATGGATTGTCTATAGCTGCTTTTCCCAGCAGAATTGACATGCTGGTAATAGAGAACTCATGAGCTGAAAAGCTTAATATTTTTACTATCTATCTTTTTTTACAGAAAAAGCTTGTCAATCCCTACTCTAAAGATGAAGAATCTTTATGGGGAAAAAAAAAGACCTAGCATAACACACCTTGCTAATCATTATAGCTCCATATTTAGAGAATATGATTAAGTAATAGCATCAGACTATGATAAGGTCACAGTCTTAATATAACCTAAGAGTAGAATTTATTGTTAACTGTAGTCTAAATAAGGTCACTTTAAAGTGATTTGTCTAACTTCTTGTTAAACCTGCTTTGACTGTTACTGTTTTTCCTCACAATATGGAAGATAGAGAGTATGCACTGAGACCTGGAGAAGCACATCTCTTCCACTTTCTTTGGTTTCATTTGCGGTTTGCGTTATTATGACTGTTTTCAATGTACTACTTGTTTGCAGGAATATTTATGAACCATCTGCCCATTTTATGCAGATCAGTGAAGACTAGAGGATCCCTCAGCTGTACTCTGCAAGCCTTCTGGGCTGTGCAAACTCCACTCTACTCTTAACACATCTCAGGTACACAGGATGGCCCTGCCAATAGCCTGAGTAGGCACAAGAGGCAATTTGTACTTTATATATAAAAAAAGCTTAACACCTTTTACTCTTTTTTTTTTTTTTTTTTTTTTTTGAGACAGAGTCTTGCTCCATCACCCAGGCTGGAGTGCAGTGGCATGATCTCGGCTCACTGCAACCTCCGCCTCCGGGGTTCAAGCAATTCTCCTGTCTCAGTCTCCCAAGTAGCTGGGATTACAGGCACCTGCCACCACACCTGGCTATAATTTTTGTATTTTTAGTAGAGATGGGGTTTCACCTTGTTGGTCAGGTTGGTCTCGAACTCCTGGCCTCAGGTGATCCACCCACCTCGGCCTCCCAAAGTGCTGGAATGACAGGCATGAGCCACTGCACCCGGTCAAATATTTTCTAGATTAAAAGATGTTGGCCAAAGCTTGGTGCAGCCACATGAATAATCATTACGAAGTATTCTCTATGTCCTATTATATACTTGAAACATTTCACATGAAAAGGCGTTTTGCTCCTGCACCCCAATAGACTGTATTGCAAATCCCACTTTGAAAGCTTGTGGAAGAATTTAACCACTCTATTCATTTGCACGTAGAACATCTGCAGTGCCTGAGCAAATAGATTAATGAATTGATAAGCTACAATTTTTGCTGTAAATTTAGTCTTTATATGCGATAGCTAGATATAGATGAGCCCATGCTTTCACTCTCCAAAATGCTACTTTATCTTACAAATCACAAAACCTTATTTGATTATGTTTTTTGCCTGGACCAAACAAAGGATGACCCATTTGTAAGCTTAGTCTCAAAACATAAAAGTGGTTTCTTTTCTAAGAAATGTATTAAATAAATACTGGTATTAATTATAGCAAAAAATCATGAGTGCATTATTTTCTGATAAACTTGTGACAATTTTATACTATTGGAGTTTGCAGCCAGTACAGGAGGGGTAGACAATATTATTTACTCTCACTTGTCAAATGAAAGTGAGAGGCTAGAAGTTTGCTTTATTGCCACAAGGCAAGTCAGTTGTCACTTGATGATCATCCAGGAGGATTTGAAAAATTGCAAAAATCAGCCACCTAATTCTAATTCCTAAGGTCAGGTCATTTATTCAGTTTGTATTCTGTCATCTACTCTACTATTATGAAGGCTTACTATTCAAATCATCTTTTAAATACTAAAGTCTTATTGTTCAGATACAAAGCTACAGATGTGTGGCTTCATTATTAGGTGGCTAGAAAAACTCCATTATGACTTAGAAACAAAAATTATTTAGTCAGGTGCAGTGGCATGAGCCTGTAGTCCTAGCTACTCAGCAGGCTGAGGTGTGAGGCTCACATGAACCCAGGAGTTCAAGGCTGCAGTGAGCTGGACTGCACTCCAGCCTGGGTAACAGAGCAAGACCCTGTCTCTAAAAAAAAAATGCTTTTAATTAAGAAAAATAACAATTTATTAAGTATCATGTGCTACACACAGATGACTAAAACGCAGTCTCTCAAAATTTAGCGCAAATGGACAGAAATAAGCAATTTATTAATTGTAATTTGATAAATTAAATGCCACATTTTAAGAAACTGGTCTCAGAGGGTAGTGATTCATTCTATTCAGAGGAATTATTAGAGGGATTTACAGTGGTTTTCACCTTTAAAATGGGCTTAGAGGGTTAAATAGGAGTTTGTCAGCCTGATAGAGAGGTGAAGCAACTTTGTCTCTTAAAAAAGAATATGTGAAGGTGCAGAGCTATGAAAAGTTCATGATATGTTTTGTGGTTGGAGTATAAAGTACTGAGTGGACAGTGGTGAGAGATGAAACTGGAATGGTAGCCTGAGGATACATCACATTACCAAGTCTGTTCCTTATCTTAATGGCAATAAGGAACTACTGTTGCTTTTTGGGGAGTGATAAAATAACAAGAGGCTTTTAGAAATAGATTTCTGGTACTGAAGATTAATCGTACTATGGAATATGAGAAAGTAGGCAAATCTTGCTCTAGTATTTAGTATCACAGGATTCCATCTTGAACTTAGGAAGGGATTGTTTATCTGTCTATAAATCACTTTAAGAAGCAACACAATTATTTTAATTATTTTAAGCATCTTGCTGAGAAATGAAGTCTCCAAAAGAAGAAACCTCCCTGGAAACAGGACATTTTGGTTGTAATGGAGCTGGGATCCAAGTTATTGTAATTCTCAATCCCAGAAACTAGCTCCCTCTGGCTCTCCAATGAAGCCCTTCTAAATTCTTTCAGTACAATCATTGCTCTTCAGGTTTGGGTGAAAGTCTGTTTCCTACTGAATACAATGCCTTACATTGAACTGTGCTGGAAAGGCTTGTTTGTTTGTTTTTTTAAAGCTGGTTTGGCTGTGTTCAATACTTAAGTAAGCTTTTAAATCATTTGAAATTGAACCTAATATGAAAGGCCAAATATTTAAGAAAACAGGGCTGCCTATTGGGCAAATATTCACACAATCTTTGAAACAGTCAATATCTATTCGGCCGACCATAACTATAGTTTCCAAGACATTAGTCAATGTAAATACATGCTAACTGGAAACAGAGGGAGAAATGACTCTAGAGGAGAAGGAACTCTTATTGGAGAAGCTCTTTTCATTTTAATTCCCTAAAGTTTAATAAAGTATAACTGAAGTATCTACTAATAAAAAAAGTTTCATTATAAGCTCTTACTCATTGCACCAGAGGCAAGGAACCCCATATGACTGTTAAAATTTAGTGAGCATGTACACAAATTTAACATTGTCCCAGTGCCCAGAATCATCCTCTTAATCTGGAGAATTTTCAGTGCTGTACCACGGAGGTATTATTTGCACAGGTCAATAAAAAGAGATCAAGAAACCCAGACAACTACAATAACCCACTTTTATTTTTTGCCAGCACTGACTTTATTTAGTAGCATCAGACATATTCTTGCTAGAGATATATATCTGGCTTCAAACAGTCGAAAAAGCAGCTGAGGAGCTTAATTAAAAACAACCTCCTTCCCAAACCTACTAACACAACGAAACCTCTAAATGGTCCCTGTTATAAAACTCAAGGAAATAGTGACATAGTGCACTTAAGATTGTTCTCATCAGAGTTAACATATGCCTGAAAACCATTTTTTGCTTTCAGTATAAGGGCAACAGTCCATATCCTGAATCGGTAATGAGCCTCCGTGAAATACACACACGCCCCCCACCCCCCTACACACACAAATCATTTCAAAGCCAGGTTGTATTTCCCTTAAAAGGAAGAGCACAAAAGATGAGCACTGAGAGTCTCCCATTGAGAAATAGCTCTGGCTGGCTCTAGCATAATAAACTGCTGTTTACCTTTTGGATTCTATTTATGCCACATGCACATTGTTCATCATTATTAAATGATCCTTTTTTATCTTTCTATGACAGTTACATATTTTAACAGGTGACAGTTTGCCTTTATAAGCAGCAAAACCCTGGTTTATTAGTATGCTTGTGTGGCATAAAATAGAGTTCATTTTTTACTGAAATAACTGGAGGAAAGAAACATCAATTGTGCAGGGTTCTGAATAGCTCAATGGGTATAGAAGGTACTGGCAATAAATTAAGATAGGTTTGCCTTATTTATGAGTCTTAGGTGTTCCTTCACAGTTGCTACTGTGCATGAATTTTAAGCGGCCCTTTGATGCGCAAGTCCATCTGAAGCAGCACTAAAAAACTCACATAGTTTCACAATTAATTGCTTCTCTGCAGTAAACTCAGAGTAGAATGTAACTCTACCACTCAGAATATTCTTTCTGGTGTGACCGTAGCAGTGAAGGCTGCTTAAGAAAAAAATAGACAGAAAGGGAAATTATGATACCTCTGAGTCACTGAAATGGCAAAGTGTGTTCTTTATCAGATTATACTGCAAATCCCAACCCAGATCATTCTGGAAACAGTCATCAGTGTCCTGAGTGCCTTCTTGGAACCAGGGTCTGGAGCTAATCCTCAGCCTGTAGATTAATGCTGCAACCACTGGGATACCCAAAAAAGACAACGTTTTTGGCAAATGGCATTTAAGAGTCACAGCTGCTACACGCTCCCTACGCCATTGTTCAAGTTTATATTTAATAATAGGCATAACTAGCACTTTGCGAGGCAGACGTGTGTGGATTCCCTGAGCTCAGGAGTTTGAGACCAGCCTGGGCAACACGGTGAAACCCCATCTCTACTAAAATACAAACAATTAGCTCGGTATGGCCGCATGGGCCTGTAGTCCCAGATACTCTGGAGTCTGAGGCTGGAGAATCGCTTGAACCCAGAGGTTTCAATGAGCACAGATCATGCCACTGCACTCCAGCCTGGGTGATAGAGCGAGACTCCATCTCAAACAACAACAACAATAATAATAAGCATAAATAAAACCCTTCCTGCAGATAACACTTTGGTCGTGTGTACTTTGTGGACGACGCAAATGGCCCATCCACCTCGGAATTGAGCATTGCCAATGAAGCCTGAGTCAGTAGATCTTTTCTATAGCTGCTTGTAGTAAGCACCTCACTAGGTAAAATATGGTGCTTTGGAATGATGGACCGCTCCAGAGGTGTCTACTGTATGTCAGGTGTGGTACAAGGCTGAGGTAATGGGGCTGGCTGGTGGCTAAGTTATTTGTTTCTCACCTGACAGGTGAACCGTTCCCTCTGCACTTTCGAGAAGACATAACTATACCTGTCACTCTGAAGGCAAAATTCACTCAGGAATAACACTGGCAAGTTCCTGATGGTGCGTTGATTTCATTCTCAGCGGTTAGAGATTTGGCAAATCATTGCCAAAGAAGGAGGCAGTCGTTTTCTCAATTAAAATCTTCAGAGACACTTTTTTATTTGTATCCTAGCATGAACCTGGGGGGAAAAATGATAAGGACTATTTCTCCTCCAGTGACTTTAAAAGGAAAAAATAAAAATCAAATTCCAGCTACAGCGGAACAGTTTCACTTTCCAAATGTGTACCCTTCCCTGCCCTCTCACCCCTCCCCACTTCCTCCACCTTTTTACCAGCGTCCACATACACTGGCCCGCAGGATATGTCTTCTACATGTTTTCATTACAGCATTTAAAAAAAAAAAAAAAGATCAGTCAGCTTTTTGCACTCTTCTCTCTCGCTAAAGTTGCTTCTGCCCTTTGAAAATATGAAAGCCCTTGAGTGATTTTATATTTTCAAAGGGTAAAAGTGCTAAAGAGCACTCCTCTATTTCAGAGAGGAGGAAAAAACGTAAATCAGTCTGACTAAAGTGTTCACTTGGAAAAGGTAAAAATGAACTACCAACGTGATGGGGAGTAGTTACTGCATCTAGAGTAATAATATATAGCACCCTGGAGTCCACGGCTGGAAAATAAAACACGAGGCAGCAGCCTCAGCTCAAATCTGCATGGCGTCTACTTCTGATGGAACCAATTCTTTTCCAAACAACTATTATGGTAGCTCACGTCCAGCCAGCATTCACTTCTGCCCAGGAAAGTACTGCAATGTGGGTAAAATCTGTGTCCACTCCCCAATCCCCTTCCATCCTAACTACCAGCCAGCCACTGCCAACCACCTCCTCTCCCTTCTCTGAAGATTCTTCCTTGGTGTGTGAATTCTCATTCCTTTCAGAAATCCACAGCCTTTTCTTTAATACACTGGCTTTTCTTCTCTCTGCCTTCTCCACCCCACTGTTAGGAATTACATTATCGAAAGGACTGGAGTTTAGAGCTCAACACCACAGAACAAACCAACACTTAACTGCTCCCAAGGACATTTATCTTTTTCCTTTTTCCATGGAATATAAGGTTTTGTTTTCTGTTGAATGCACCTTCCCAGACAGACCTAAACAGCCAGGGGGAAGAGTACTTCTCCAGATAACGGGCTTTGGTCTTCTTGGTGCTGCCCTGAATCACCTGTCTCTCAAACCTTCTCTGCATGATTCCCACTCAAAATTCACCACACAGATCAGTGATCACTTCCTCTGGGTAAACTCCTACTTCAAAGATTCGGGAGGCTCTTGGCTGTGATGCCATAGCACTCTGAGATGTTTCACTCCCTGCATTTCCCACTTTTCCTTATAGAGTTTATTCTGGCATCTCCCTTGCTAAACTGAAAGATCTTTGATGGCAGCTATAGTCGCTTTTATTTCTAGATCTCAGTTTCCAGCACAGTGTCTCAAATACAGCAGCAGCAGTAGTATTAATAATAAATGTAGATAAAATATTATCTATTATAAATATTTTAAATACTTTGCATATATTAATTTGCTTAATCCTCACAACACCCTGATGTGGTAGGTACTATTATTTATCCCCATTTTACAGATGAGGAGACGGAAACACAGAAAGGTTCAATTATTTTCCTAAGGACACACAGCTCATAAGTACTAAAAAGTGAATCCTAACTCAAGTAGTCTGATCCCCCACACTGTGTGCTCTGCCACTATTCTCTACTGTCTCTTTTAAAAATAACATATTACTATGGTTTGAATGTTTGTGTCTCTCTAAAAATCATGTTGAAATTTAATCCCCAATGCAACCATATGAAGAGGTGGAGACTTTGGGAGGTAATTAGGCCATGAGGGCTCTGCCCTGATGAAACAGGATTTGCCCCCTTATAAAATGGGTTGAGGCAGCAAGTGTGTCCCTTTTTTTGCCCTTCCACCATGTAAGAACACTGTTCCTCCCTTCCTCCATGTGACGATGCAGCAAGAAAGCATCATCTTGGAAGCAGAGAGCAGCCCTCCTAGACATCAAATCTCAGGCACATTGATATCTTGGACTTGCCAACCTCCAAAACCATGAGCAAGAAATGTCTACTATGTATAAACTACCAAGTCTAAGGCATTTTGTTATAGTACCACGAATGGATTAAGACACATGTGTATACAATAAATGTACTCCATACATTGTTTTGGAATGAATTGAAAATGAATAAATTTAGATCCATTGCTCACAATTTGTTATGACTCAGGAAAGCTACTTAATCACTTTTACTTTTATTTTCCTCTCTGCAATGTCACTTTTCTCCCTTTGAGAACTTAATAAAATAGGATCTGCAATCTGGCTAGCAAGGTGCATGGGTGTGTTAAATACGTATGAATTCTCCTGCGGTAATACTGACCAATGGTGTCAATAGTCTTAGGGAGTCTCTGGCAATAAAAGCTCAGTTAGAAATGCAGGTTACTGATTTTACCTGAGGCGACAATTTGGCGTATAATTCATACCACCAACTATTATTCGTTTGTATATCAATGCATGCATAATCTTTGCCCAAAGCAAGGTCATGTCATACATAACACTGACTCCATGGAAAAGGTATTACTATTGCAATTTTAAACCTAGTCCTCTGGATGTACAGAAAGCATCAGGCCCTGAAACAGCAAGCACTGTGAGAGTTAGAGTCCAGTCATCAGCCAGCATAACACTAGTAGGGTGCCTGCTGGCAGACCAGTGCCCCAGAGAGCCAGACTCTATCATTTCTGTGCTATTTAGGCACCGAATGGGGAAACAGAATCTGTGCCCAAGGACAGTTACACAGTAGGAAAAACTGTGATCTATAAACAGGTAATATAAGAGATAGCCAGGCTGGGCGCGTTGGCTGACGCCTGTAATCTCAACACTTTGGGAGGCCGAGGCAGGTGGATCACGAGGTCAGGAGATCGTGATCACCTGACCAACATGGTGAAACCCCGTCTCTACTACAAATAAAAAAATTAGCTGGGCGTGGTGGTGCGTGCCTGTAATCCCAGCTACTCAGGAGGCTAAGGCAAGACAATTGCTTGAACCAGGGAATCAGAGGTTGCAGTGAGCCGAGACGTTGCCGCAGTACTCCAGCTTGGCAACAGAGTGAGACTCAGTCAAAAAAAAACAAAAAACAAAAAAAAAAAAAAAACAAAAAAAGAGCAGGAGAGCCAAAAACAAAACCAAAAAGATGGATTTCAGTATGTATTTGCTCAGGGAACTCCCTACCGTATCTAGTGGCTAAGGAGAAGCTGGGAATAGCTACTTTGGAAAACAAACTACAGCTGGGTCTAAAAGGCATATTATATCCAATATATCCAAAGAATCCTGGACAATTCTATGTCCATCCTCTTCATTATGAAGTTAGAAGCACCTTGATATGATACCAGGACAGCACATATGTGTTGGAGTTAGGCTGCCCTGTGTTCAAATTCTTCCTGCTCCACTTCTTGGAAGTATGGACTTAGGAAAGTATATACCTGAGTTTTAGTTTCTTTTTTTTTTTGTAAAGCACATAATAATGTTCATTTTATAAGGTTATTGTACAAATGAAGACATTTTTATGGTAAGCATCTAGCACAATGAATGGCCCATAGCAGACACTCATATTATCACATAAAACTCCCGTCAGGGCGTTCGGGGCTATGGGAGGGATAGCATTAGGAGAAATACCTAATGTAGATGACGGGTTAATGGGTGCAGCAAACCACCATGACACATGTATACCTATGTAAAAACCTGCATGTTCTGCACAGGTACCCCTGAATTTAAAGTATATTAAAAAAAGTTATGCAGTCAGAGCTCAATTAACCCACAAATATTCATTGTAGTTGGTACCTATTCATCCACTCATCTATTATTCCTTCAGTGACTAAAATGTCCCAAACAAGTATACAAAGATTTAGAAAATAACAAGTCCCTGCCATCGAGGTGCTTTATGAAGAAATATAAACACACATTCAACGTGCTACATAGGGAACCATTAGCTACAAAACACTAACACCATGTATGTGTGTATACACATAGGGGAAGGCACTTCTATAGATGAGGAATTTTAGAAACCTTCCATTTAGAGATGAGTACTTTGGCTATGAAAGATGGTGGTGATGGAGGAATGAATAAATTGAGACCTTCATATAAAATTGAAGTCTGCTATGAAATATGGTCTTCAGATTTTTATTTTCTACCTCTTAATTATTTCAGATGCAGTTTATTAATAAATCACTTTGAGAAGAAGGTGGGAAGGAGACTAGGCAAAGACTGATTGCTCTCATCTTAATTAATTTGCCTATGAAAATTCCATGTAATTGTTTATTTCTATCTAAGACAAAAAAAGCAGAATATAATTTGAATATATGTCATGATGTCATTGCTTAGAGGTGAGGCTATACCACAACTGAGATATTCTCAACACACATAAGAACAGTAAATATTCTAACTAAACACACCCCAATTTCTCTGTGTCTACAGTTGTCAGAAGAGCTCATATTAGCCAAGATCTGATGCTGAGACAAATCTAGTATATGGTAGCATACCAGGAGTAGAAAAACCAGCCTTCTCAGTTGTTTTGGGAGATTAAATAAATACAATTTTTAAACAAACAAACCTCTGTTCTAAATATCAGAATAGTAATCTATCCACACAACATCCTCATCCTGAGAGATTAAAAAAAAATGATGTTGGTTTGTGTCTCTTAATTAGCTCATTTAACACAAAGTACTACTCCATAACTTTTCTGAAGAGCTTGCTACTGGTGGCCTTGAGTCACTATGATGGATGGGTGCGTCTACTCAGGATGACCAGTTGTTAAAAATAACAACTATGTGGTATTTTGACATTATCCAAAGCATTGAAGATGTGTAACAGAACATACAAGATACTTAGCACCAGTTACCAGGAAGCAAACATTCTGAGATGATAAGAAGAGCAACGCTAGAGTGTTAGTTTAGCACTTGAGTGACTGGATGTTCCTCTTCCAAAATGGTGGCGACTAAGAGAAACCAGCAGAGACCTGCAGATCAACAGGGGTACCATGAGAGATGTGGCTTCTAACTTAAGAACTCCCCTGAGGTGGTTATTTTGGGATTTTTTAGAGATTTCTGTTCTCTTTAATACTTTTCTCTATTTTCAAACTTCTTACAATAAGTACATAACAGAGCTTATTTATAAGCTCATTTGAAATTTCAAAAATTTTTGCTTCTTTGATTTTTTCATTTAGTACATCTTGGATACCTAATTTTTACCAAACATAGCCCTGTGCTGGGTGTTGAGAAGACACAGATGAAAAAATTGTCTTTGACTTAAGGGGTGACAATCAAAAGTGAGAGATACCATAAAAAAGAACTAAAATATGGTCTGAATGGTGCAGAAGGAATGTCAAAGTATGGAAACATAGCATTCAAAAGGAAGAAATTAATCTGTAAGGATAGAGAAGATCTATGGACAGTAGCACATGAAAGCAGTTCTCCTGAACAAGGGGCATGAACAAAGGCAGAGGTGCAAATCAGTATATTGTGCTTGGGTAATCCTGAGTGTTTTGATGTTAAGTGAACATCATTTTTAGTAATGGACTCAGTAAGTGTAATGGTCTTGGACCTACCATATATGTGTCTCTTCAACTTTTCTAGCATCTTCATATTGCTTTACACTTCTGGACAGCATTTTAATAGTTCAGCCATTTGATCATGGAATGGATATTAAAAGACACTCTGGAATAAGCTCAAGAAAAAAAGAGACAGTGATGCAAAAACATATGTGAAACTGGGCATTGCATCTAATCTCTATAAATCTCAGTGATCATGGATGGGCAAATATAATGGGAGTGGTCAGGTAATTTCTAAGACCTTCAATTCCAAACCCCAATTTAGTTCAATGATTTACCAAATATCTATTAAGTAAAAAACACTGTATTCATTGTTTAATGCTACCAAAGATGAACAATATATCCTTCCTGCTTCCAAAAGTTTACAACATAATTGGGAGCAAAAGAGAAATAAATATACCTAAGACAATAGCACAAGGCTGAATGTGAGAGGTGTATGAAAGCATTAAACTCTTAAGACAAGGAAAATTGTGGGACAGTTTCGAGACACATTACAGAGTTTAGTTCAGTAGAGAGTACGTGAAGGGAACAGTAGGAAATAAAAACAAAAACGTTTGCAGGAACTCTTTTGAAGAACATTTAATGCCAGACTAAAAAATTCCCATGTATATGTGCAACCTTCATAAATGATGAAGGTGACATTGCAGATCATTAGAGAAAGAAGAAGCTCCTCACTATATACTTCTGGAACAACTGCCTATCCACATGAAAGAATGAAATGAGGCCACGTGGTGGCTCACACCTATAATCCCAGCATTTTGGGAGGCCGAGGCGGGCGGATCACAAGGTCAGGAAATCGAAATCATCCTAGCTAACATGGTGGAACCCCATCTCTACTAAAAAAAATACAAAAAATTAGCTGGGCGTGGTGGCACATGCCTGTAGTCCCAGCTACTCGGGAGGCGGAGGCAGGAGAATCGCTTGAACCCAGGAGGTGGAGGTTGCAGTGAGCTGAGATAGTGCCACTGCACTCCAGCCTGGGCGACAGAGCAAGACTCTGTCTCAAAAAAAAAGAAAAAAAAAAAAAAAAAAAAAGGAAATAAAATCTCTACTCCAAACTCTACAGAGGGAAAAAAAAAATCTACTCCAGGTGGATTAAAGGAATAAATATGAAAGGCCAAAATATAAGACTTTAGAAGAAAGTATGGAAGACTGTTATCAATGAAATTTAAGAAGAATTTCCTAAGCATGACCCAAAAGAGCTAAACATAAGATAATTAAAAACACTGATTACATTGAAATTAAAAATTGTAGCTCCTGAGAACATACCATAAATAACTCCACTTCATCAGAAGATACCTAAAACAAGTGGGGAAGAAAGGAAGCATCAAAGTGGGAGAAGAAGTTCCAATCACATATAACACATTAAGGAGATACACACACACGCACACACACACACACACAGACTAGCTTGCTCACTCTCTCAAAACTCCTATAATTCAATGATGACAAACAAAAAATGAGAAAAAGCCATGAGTAGGTACTTTACAGAAGAAATAAAAATGGCAATAAAACATATGAAAAGATTTTTAACTTTATTAGTAATTGAGGAGATGGAAATCAACTCCCTACAGAGATAATCATATTATATCCAGTAAATGACTGGAAATCACTAGGCCTGGAAATATCAAATGCTGACAAATATAAAATGATGGGAACTCATATCTTGCTGAAATAATTGGCAGTATCTGGAAAAGATAGCATGTTCATCTTCAAGGTCCAAGTAATCTACTCTCACATATATAAAAAAACACTTGAAAGTGTATACCATTAGACACATACACGAATGTTCCTAGTAGCATTTTTCATGCTAGAAAAAAATCTGATAATCACCCAAATTTTACTGACAACAAAATGAATAACTAAATTATGGTATAGCCACACAACTGAATATTGTACTTCAGGGAAGTGAATCAACTAGGGATAGTAAATGCAGTAATACAGATGAAACATAATATTGGGTAAAAAAACAAACTGCTGAAGAATATGTAGACCACAATAAAATTTAAATATATCTCAAAAAGAAGCAAAAGTAACCTATGTTTAGGAGTACACACATATTTGTTTAAACTATTTTTTAAAACAACAGAATAAGCACAAAATTTAAGAGTGATTACTTTTAAGAAGGACCAGAAAAATGGGTTAAAGGAGAAATATGTAGAGGAGTGAAAGATGTTGATAACTTTACTTCTAAGTATAGTGGTAAGTTCATAGATATACATTTTCATCTGATACTTTTTAAAAACTATATTTATTCATATGCAACAATTAAATAAATCACAAAATGTTTTACTTGAACCAGGTTTTACAAGGGGCTTTTCATAAATAAAGAACCATTGGCGCCTGTAGTCCCAGCTACTCAGGAGGCTGAGGCTGGAGAATGGCGTGAACCCCGTGGGGCAGAGCCTGCAGTGAGTCGGGATCGCGCCACTGCACTCCAGCCTGGGCAACAGTGAGACTCCATCTCAAAAAAAAAAAAAAAAAAAAAAGAACCATTGGTAGTTAGGAACAGGGTAGTAATATTAGGAAAGCTTGCTTTAGATGTAATGCCTATGCTATATTTCCTACAATGGCAAAGGTGTGTAGGCCAGGGGTTCCTGCCCACCTCTTTTGGTTAACAGTAGACAGTGACTAGGGCCTCACCCTACTCCGTATGAGGAACTACCAGGCCTACATCCTTCAGACACTAAGATAAGTACAAAAATATTAGTCCTTTCATAAATATGGCCTCTTATCATTTACATCCTGAGATGTAATACCTAAGACACATTAGATGAAGGTTAAAGGAAAACAAGGAATCTCCATTTATGGGCCCCTATGTTCTTGTCCACAAGAGAAACATGGCACAATCTCTAACCTCATGTTCTTAAAATGTTCCTTCCATACTGTATAATCTTTCCATATAATCACATTAGTTTTATTAATACCTGAATTCTTTTACCCTAGCAAGAAAAGGCTAGCTCCCAAAAGGTGAAACGTTGTGTGCCAACATTCAATTTCACTCATGCAAAGGGTTTAGGATGTGATACGGTTTGTCTGTGTCCCCACCCAAATCTCACCTTGAATTGTAGTTCCCATAATCCCCACGTGTTGTGGGAGGGATCCGGTGGGAGATAATTGAATCATGGGGGTGGTTCTCACGAAAGTTCTCATGAGATCCGATGGTTTTACAAAGGGCTTTTCCCCCTTTTGCTCAGCACTTCTTGCTGCCACCATGTGAATTAGGACATGTTTTCTTCCCCTTCTGCCATAATTATAAGTTTCCTAGGGCCTACCCAGCCATGTTGAACTGTGAGTCAATTAAATATCTTTCCTTTATAAATTTCCCAGTCCCAGGTATGTTCTTATAGCAACATGAGAACAGACGAGTATAGGATGCAAGGTGGAAAGATAAGGCCTAATAGGGAGGAAGAGGTGAACCATTGGCGGTCATCTTCATACCTTATGCTTTTGTCATTATAGGAATCTTCAAATAACTTCTTGAATTCTCAAGAAAGGACAGTTTCTATGTTTATACACAATCAATGCATGCATTAAATCCATGGCTCTCATTATCCTAAGGAAATTAATTCAGAAACAGAAAACCAAATACTGCATGTTCTCATTTATAAATGGGACCTACACACTGGGTACACATGGACATAAAGATGGCGGCAAGAGACACTGGGGACTACTAGAGTGGGGGAAGGAGGGATGAAAAAGCAACTACTGGGGCCAGGAGCGGTGGTTCATGCCTGTAATCCCAACACTTTGGGAGGCCGAGGCGGGCGGATTGCCTGAGGTCAGGAGTTCAAGACCAGTCTGGTCAACATGGTGAAACCCCGTCTCTACTAAAAATAGAAAAAAATTAGCCAGACATGGTGGCATGCACCTGTAATCCCAGCTACTCGGGAGGCTGAGGCAGGAGATTTGCTTGAGCCAGGGAGGCGGAGGTTGCGGTGAGCCGAGATCGTGCCACTGCACTCCAGCCTAGGCAACAGAGCGAGACTCCATCTCAAAAAAGAAAAACAAACTAACTATTGGGTACTATGCTTACTATCTGGGTGACAGGATCAATCATTCTCAAACCTCAGCATCACACAGTATACTCAGGTAACAAGCCTGCACATGCACCCCCTGAATCTAAAATATAAGTTGAAATTATTTGGAAATAAATAAATAAATCCATGGCTCTCAGTCTTAAGTTCCCAAATTGGGAACAACCTGAGGAACTTAAAACAAACAAACAAACAAGCAAACAACAACAAACAAAACCCTGGGTCCTTCCCACTGAGATTCTGACTTAAGTGCTCTGAGATCAATGCCTTGGCATCAGCTGACTGAGAACTTCAGAATTAAACTCTTTCTCTTCAGAATTTCAATTACACACATGGGTGTTTCTATAAACAAGGGTTACATTAAACATTTGGGGCTCATCTTTTAATCTAACGTGTTCCAATAAAACCATTTAAACTTTTAAATAACTTAAAAAAACAAAAAAAAGTAAATGCCCACACACATTCAAAGCACCTATGATGTTCTCACCTAACCCTAGGTGAAAATACTACAGATGTTTTCCTTTCTGCAATTTTGAAAAAAAAAAATGGCTTTCAGTGAAGACAAGGGATTTGTAGATTCAAAGCCTGACCACTATTTCTAGCAGCAAGACACTTCACTGATAAATTGCTAAAAATAGCCAAACCTTGAATATTTTGACACCTAATCTCCAAGAATCAAGAGTTTTCAACACTTCTCCAGCAAGGTGGCTTCAACATGAATCATCATAATAGAGGCACAAGAGTTTCATAAGCTCTATACAGGGATTGCTTTTTGCACGTTATTATGGTCACAAGAGATGCAGAATTCACTTTAAAAGAAACTCAGAACTGCATGAGAAGAAGCAACCGAAGTTTTTATTTATTTATTTTATTATTATTATTATTATTATTATTATTATTATTATTATTATTTTGAGACAGAGTTTCCCTCCATTGCCCAGACTGGAGTGCAGTGGTGCAATCTCGGTTCACTGCAACCTCCACCTCCCAGGTTCAAGCGATTCTCCTGCCTCAGCCTCCCGAGTAGCCGGGATTACAGGCACCTGCCACCACACCTGGTTAATTTTTGTATTTTCAGTAGAGATGGGGTTTCGCCATGTTAGCCACTCTGATCTCGAACTCTTGACCTCAGGTGATCCATCTGCCTTGGCTTCCCAAAGTGCTGGGATTACAGGCGTGAGCCACCACGCCTGGCCACCAAAGCTTTTAAAAGTATATCCAGTCACTCTTTTTGGATGTAAATTTATGGCTTTTTGAGGATATCATGGACATATTACTGCCAACATGGAAAGCTGTCTTCAAAATATATATATTTTATGTAGATTTTATATATAATTATATATAATTTTATATATATAATATATATATTTTTTTATATATTATATATAACTTTTATATATTATATATATTTTATATATTATTTTTATATAATATATATTATATAAACATATATAATATATATTATATATGTTTATATATAATATATTATATAAAAATATATAATATATATTATATATGTTTATATATAATATATTATATATTTATATTATATATGTTTATATATAATATATTATATATTTATATAATATATTATATATTTTTATATTATTATAGAATTATATATAAAATATATTTTTAAAATATAAATATTATATATATTATATATTATATTTTTATATATTATATTTTATATATTTATATAATATATTATATATATTTATATATTTTATATATATTATATATTTTTATATATTTTATATATATTATATATTTTTATATATTTTATATATATTATATATAACATATATTTATATTTATAAATATATATATTATATATAACATATATTTATATATTATATCTATTTCATATATAACATATATTTATATATTATATCTATTTCATATATAACATATATTTATATATTATATCTATTTCATATATAACATATATTTATATATTATATCTATTTCATATATAACATATATTTATATATTATATCTATTTCATATATAACATATATTTATATATTATATCTATTTCATATATAACATATATTTATATATTATATCTATTTCATATATAACATATATTTATATATTATATCTATTTCTTATATAACATATATTTATATATTATATATTTTATATAACATATATTTATATATTATATATTTTATATAACATATATTTATATATTATATATTTTATATAACATATATTTATATATTATATATTTTATATAACATATATTTATATATTATATATTTTATATAATATATATTTATATATTATATATATTATATAATATATATTTATATATTATATATATTTTATATAATATATATTTATATATTATATTTTTTATATATAATATATATTTATATATTATATTTTTTATATATAATATATATTTATATATTATATATATTTTATATATAATATTTATTTATATATTATATATATTTTATATATAATATTTATTTATATATTATATATATTTTATATATAATATTTATTTATATATTATATATATTTTATATATAATATTTATTTATATATTATATATATTTTATATATAATATTTATTTATATATTATATATATTTTATATATAATATATATTTATATATTATATATATTTTATATATAATATATATTTATATATTATATATATTTTATATATAATATATATTTATATATTATATATATTTTATATATAATATATATTTATATATTATATATATTTTATATATAATATATATTTATATATTATATATATTTTATATATAATATATATTTATATATTATATATATTTTATATATAATATATATTTATATATTATATATATTTTATATATAATATATATTTATATATTATATATATTTTATATATTTTATACATATTTATATATTATATATATTTTATATATTTTATACATATATATATATAGAGAGAGAGAGAAGTTATTTAGGATCTCCTAGTAGATTCATACTGAACAAATTTATTATTAAGGATCCAGATGTTAAGTAACTGGAACAAAAGCTTAAGATTAAGACTTAAGGCACCCTAACTTTCACCCAAACACAAAACGAATCTATAATGCAAACCTTTTTTACAATATTATTTCTGCTACACCAAACTGCATCCATCATATCATGACCTCAGCATTCTGTAAGCCAAAGGAAAAAAAAAAAATCTCTGTAATTTCAAAGATATTTTAGAAAAATATAAACATTTAAATAAAAGGAAAACATCCTTTAACAGAAGGGTAAAATGATCAATAGTCTTTAGTCTTCTGGTATCATTCTTTTGAATTCCTTTGTGCCTCTATTGATTACTTTTGTTATTATAAGCCTGAAAGGGAAGAGGCAAGGACAACACTGAGAAAATGAAGACCTGGATTCATGGGCAGGGACGGACGGAAATGACCTCTAAAAGCCAAGCAAGCAACTTCACTCCTCAACACCTTTTTTTCTCATGTACAAATTTGGACTTTGGCCTGGAAATTTTAGGGCCCTTTTTAGCAATGTAATTTTATGATTGTTTTTCTTTGCAAATGGGAAACAGAGAGCCACAGAAACTCAGTGATCAAATCAGTGTTCAATAAAGGGCCATGACATAACACTATTCTACAAATCTAGAAAAAGTGTTGTATGCCCACAGCTCAAGCGAAGATAATTACTGAAAATGAGGACCAACTGGCTCCCTGATTCTTTAAATCTCTTAACAAAACATGACCAAGTCATTGATTTGAGACAAACTGGAGGGCCGAGTGCCATATCTTGTGAGTTTTGCTGGAGTCGTGATGCTTCGTGAAAACAATTTGATAAGACTTCAGATCTGCAAGTTTAACATGAAATTTCATATATCTGGTATCTACTAAAAAAAAGAAAGAAGTCAATCTAGCAAGAGGGGTCCCATACACCCAACTGAGCAATGGTGAGCTATGGCAGAGGGTGCCTAACTCCTCCAGGTCTTCTCCTGCCAAACCACTTCTGCATTAGTTATACATGTATGCATTAACCTACAGCCACTGATTTAAGAGAAATCAAAACAAAAAAAAATAGATTTCTCTTATAGTTGGTACATTCTTGAAAATGCTTAAGCCAAGGATTACCAACGTCATTATGAAGTCCCATTAACTTGTCCTGCAATTTCTATTTCCAGAGTATTATCCCTTTACTGAAGGTTTGATGCATATTTAAAATGCCAAGAAAAGCTTCCTGAAATGATAAAAAAATAATGTGAATAAACGGTACAGAAAACAAAGGGCGGCATCACGGAAGTTCAGAGCAGGAAGGAGCCTTAATGACAATTTAGTCACTGCTTCTCCTACAAATAAAAAGAACTAGAGAAAAAAGTGATGTTTCAAGTACACATAATTGTGAACTTTCTAGCCCCCCACATTGCTTAAATGGAAAGGAAGTTTTGACTTGAAGAGGAGAAAGGAAACAAGAAAAGACCGAGCATAGGGGGTTAGATGGGAGACACCATGGAGAGTGAAGTGATGGTTAGCAGAATTAAGCAGCTGACTTTTGAGTCAAAATTGTGATTACATCCCAAGTTTAAGTGTTACTAATGCCATTTAAATTAATGGCATATAACTTTAATGATCTAAGTTTGCTATGATGATGATATATGACATTCTACTAATATATAATACACACAGATATCCATGAATTACAGTCCTTATCACCTTGACAATTATTAATAATTGACTCTACAATGGTCTTCTCCGCTGCAGAATGTGGTAGGTTAGAGCTGTCTTTTCACATTGATATCCTGGAGACTGATGTGCATTGCAAGTTAGCTGCTAAACTTTAGAAAACATCAGATGGATATTTTTATTTTTTGCTCTAAGTTGAAAAATAAAATTAATAACAAACCTGTTATTTCTTTATAGCAAACCCCCAAACCCTTATATCCCTCCCACACACCTCACACTGACAAAACCTGTGAACATCCTGATTGCTTTTTTTAAGAGAAACAACTTTGGAAACCTCCCGATACAAGCTGCTAGTAATCACTGCAGCTTCTGGTCCCAAGACTGAGAGAGAAACAAGGGCTGTCTATTCAGAGGAAGGATAGATTCTTTCTTTTCCCAGTTCCTTTCAAAAGGCTTACAACACAGTTATAGTTCTCTGGCAAAGAACTGTATTTTGTGCTCTGTATTTTTTTTCCATCTCTCTTAAAAAAAACAGGCTAGACACTTCTTAATGACATATTGATGGAAATTGTTATTATAAGTCTAATTGTATTGTGCCACTAAACTGCTTTCGAACACAAATCAGAAGAATTTCGCTTTACAACTGGACACAGAAAGTAAAAATAAAGCACATACACTCAAAAGTAATAATAAAGACGAGGTATTTAGAAAAGTACGCAGATTGAGGAGCTAGTATACTTCTAAAAAATTGGTGTCTCTAATGGCATATTTATTTAATTAATTAATTTTTTTGGAGGGACAGGGTCTTGCTCTGTCTCCAGGAATGGAATGCAGTGATTATGGCTCACTGTCACCTCAAATTCCTGGGCTCACACAGTCCTCTGACCTCAGCCTCCCGAGTAGCTGGGACTACAGGCACGAACAACCACGTCCAGCTAACTTTAAAAAAAAAAATGTGCAGAGAAGAGAGTCTGGCTATGTTGTCCAGGCTAGTCTCAAACTCCAGGCCTCAAGCCATCCTCCCACCTCAGCCTCCCAAAGTGCTGGGATTATAGGCATGAGCCACTGTGACCAGCCTGTAATAGCATCTTTAAAAACAAAACCTGAGAAAAACTACTGTAATTTGTTATTTTACTTACTTTAATAAACTACTTTAAATCCCCTGATTTTTCAAAAGTTCTTCAGAATATTCTACACATCAATTACTCCATACTACAGCATGTTATTTTTAATATATTCATAAAGTTACTGTCCTCCAATCATTCCTGACACATTTGTGACAGCCCTTTGTCACAGACAGGGCCATTTCTGTTTATAACCATGAGAAACATACCACCCTACAGACCAAGAAGGCACAATAGGCAGTGAAATGAATTTTTATCCATTTATTTCTCTTTCTGTCTCCGATGCTTATACATCCACATCCCTGTCAAATGGACTATGAGTGAAGTGCTGTATCATCCCACCTCAGTATAATCAATCCATGTGCTAATAAAATAGAATTACATGGTAACATCATCGAAAAGGCCCTGAAACCATGAAGGCTTGGCTTCTAGTCCTAGCACTGTTTATCACTACCTGTTTAGGTTTGTTCGACTTTGGTCAAAAAATCTCTAAAGTCAACCTTAATTTCATCATCTGTTCAATATTAGGGCGGGTACAAAGATACAAAGCAATCAGAATTAAGTGAGTCCCCTAAAAATGTTAAGTTGCATGCACATGAATTAAACAGCCACGCATAATAGGACCACATGATAGATGTCACTTAATCATCTTTCTAGAAGAATCTATCTAGGAATGTAGGCCTTAGTATCTGTCTAAAACAAATGTCAAACCCTCTTACAACTATTTTATTCTTCCTCTGGTGAATAAAGTTTCCTAAGGGTTTTATCACAGTATTGATTAGATTTTTGAAATTTTATTCTAAATATTTATGCCTTAATAAAGTTCGAGTAACACACATTATTCAACATGTGCTATGGGACAAGCCCTATCAGGTACTGGGTAAGTAAAAGTGAATGAGATGGAACTTGCATCAAAGGCAGAGGGGCCTGACACAACCTCCACACCATGTTGGGATAAGGATCCAACCGCTTGGGAAACATCACTACCCCATATGGACTCACTGCTCTGTTTTTTTTAAAACAACTGTTCTCATTCTATCTCTTGCTTAACTATAGCCTCATCCCCTCATTATCCTGAACTTCGGATCATTCTTAAGCATATGTAGCTCCTGCCAAGAGAATAACGTGAAAGAGTGCTACAGAAAGTTAGAAAGGCCTCTTATTTAACAAAAATCTGACTTTGGGCAAACTGGTAAAATTCTGGGTGAGTCAATTTCCTCTTTATGACAAGAAATAAATTAGATGCAGATATAAGACCCCAATTAGCTCAAAAGGAAATCCAAGACTTTTAAAATATTGTGAAACTGGAGCAGCATCTTTCTTTATAAATGCTTTATATTGCATCAGGACGGCGCCCTCAGAATGCCTATTTGTTTTATAAGTGGCTGTTTGTCTGAGTTAAAATTGACATTTGTGTTTTCTTACTCTTCAATTGGCATTTTAAAAATATTCTTACATGGAATTCCACTTCATACTGGCTTGCAAAAGAAAAAACAATATTGAAAATAGAAAACAAGAATTACTATCATCCATGGCCCCCAGATGGTGTCATCTGGGAGTTTATCAGAAATGCAGAACCTCAGGCCCCTCCCCAGGTTTATTAAATCAGAATGTGCATTTTAACAAGATCTGCAGTAATTCAAATGCACATTAACATCTGAAAAGCACTGATTTGTGAGTTTCAAATATTACCAGCTTAGCTTCCATAACCCATGATCATTTGACTTCCCCTTCTCTCCCAGTAGGTTTATTACACTAAATTAAAATAAAGATGTTAACTACTAAATAAGTACTGTTGCTAACAGAAGACACCAATGACTTCTAAGCAACCCTAAACTACCAGATATTTATTTAGAGGCAAATCTTCTCCAATATTGAGTAAATACGTTCTCTTTAATAATAAGTTGCTGGCCAGGCACGGTGGCTCATGCTTGTAATCCTAGCACTTTGGGAGGCTGAGGTGGGCAGATCCCGAGGTCAGGAGTTTGAGACCAGCCTGACCAACGTGGTGAAACCCTGTCTGTAAAAATACAAACATTAGCCAGGCACAATGGTGCATGCCTGTAATCCCAGCTACTCGGGAGGCTGAGGCAGGAGAATTGCTTGAACCTGGGAGGCAGAGGTTGCAGTGAGCCAAGATCCTGCCACTGCACTGCAGCCTGGTGACAGAGCGAGATCCCATCTCAAAAATAAATAAATAAATAAATAAATAAAATAATAAGCTGCCAACACCTGTGAATTGTATCACACAAAGCATAGTCATCCCAGTGGTGGTGAGTCCCTTGAAGTAGTTCAGACAGTTTCTTCACTGTGGCCTCTTGCATCTTCTCCTTCCTATGCCTGCCTACCAGTTACTTACCTTCCCAAATGTCTGTGATGTCATTTCCCCTCTGACTTATCTGACTGGGAAGCCATAGCATTCAATTTAGGTAACGACAAAACATCTGTAAAGTTTCTTATTCAAATCCCACGTGGTTACAGTGATATTTTCCCACCTGTGGAAAAATACCCTTAAATACAATGTGGGCTGGAGTGGTGGGGGTACCTGTACCAATCTTTCTGGGAAGGAGGGTTCTTTTGCACCTTATGAATCCAGTAATTTGGGGGCAGAAAGTCAATATTTGCATTAAATAAAGCCAACATTGACCTCTCTTGGAAGACAGCTTTCAACTTTTTCAGTCTCCTCATTTATAAAATAAACTATCAAAAGAAAAGAAGTTGATAAATGGGTACAAATATACCACTTAATAGAATAAGACCCAGTGTCTGATAGATCAGTAGGGTGACTATAGTTTATAATAATCTATTGCATATTCCAAAATAGCTGAAAGAGAACAATTCAAATGTTTCTAGCATAAAGAAAAGATAAATATCAAAAGGTGATAGATAACCCAGTACACTGATTTGATCTTTACTAATTATATTAATGTATTAAGTTATTACTTGTACCCCAAAACTATGTACATGTACTATGCGTCAATTTTAAAAAGTGTTAAAATTTAAAAATAAAAAATAAAAGCTACTCTGAAGTTTGAAAAAAAAAAAGTGAGACTGGTCATATAAGAAGAATACTGACCTCATTTTATCCTTGTCCTGATAGAAACAATATTCAGAAATATTTTATGCTCTATAGTGGCCTGATATCATCTGAAAAATGTTACTACTTGGTTATTGTTTCTACTTTAGCCCCATAAACACAACCCTCATATTTCTATCACTGAATTCAGTGAAGTGGTGTGGGGGGAGTGGTGGTAGGGTGAGCACAAAATACTTACACAGCGAAAACATACTCCTTTCAAGAGAAAATTCCAAAACCACAGGAATTAGCAGTGGATTTCAGATAACACAATCCAAAATGAATACATTAACATCCACCTAATTCTGAAAATTATCTACGCACAGCGTGTGTATGCACACAATAAGGCCATACGATGCAATGTGGCACAAACAATTAAAAGTTCTTTTCAAAGTGGAAATGCAAAATAGAACGAATATCTATTTTCTATAAATGAATCTAGCCATCTGCCTCACAAGAGCAGCAGCAGGAGTACCCAAAACAGCAGAAACAGCAGCCTCTGGTGTTAACAATCTATTCTCAAATCTCATGCTCCACATTTCCCTGGCAAACAAGGCTAAAAATACAAGACATGCAACAAATAGTCTCGTGGGATCTGCCGTTCCATGGATGGCGTATTCAATCAGAGTCATATTTTCTGCCGAAATTCAAAATTGAAAACAAAAGCAAGCTATCATATTGGAAACTGGCACTCAGAATTTTAAGTGTGAATCCAATCCCAAAGTATAGTAAGCTGAATGGGGAGAGGGCGGTTATTTTCAAACAACACAAATCTTTCAGATTTATCTGAACATATTTATAGACTTATTTAAGGTACTCTAAATTCCTCTATGCCTCTTGATAGTAATAAAGATATCATTTGAGTACTTTTGTCATCAAAATACAAGGGTCATTTTCTTTTCTGCATAGTTCAGAAAAATTGTCTTTGTTGTGGGCCCTGGAGTCAGATGGAGTAGGTACAAATCTAGGCCCTACTATGTCCTAACTCCATGGCCTTGGGCAAGCTTTCAATCCTGTGTCCCTCTTTTCCTATCTTACCAATGGGGGTAATCACAGTACTTACCTCAAAGAGTTATCTTCAGGATTACATCAGTTAATGTTTGTAGAGCATTTAGAATTATGACTCTCACACATGAAGTAAGTACTATTATTAGGAGTATTATTTCATACTCAACTAAGTATGAAAGTATTACTAATAAGTATTACTATTATTTCATGTAAGTATTATTTCATATTCAAACAAAGTTGCAGAAATGTATTTATTATTTTAAGGAACAGGTACAATACAAAAAGAGTGCTAACAACATGATAATAGGTCTTATGCCGGCAGTAGCCATTTAGAAAGTAAAGGGGTGAGGCCAGATGTGGTGGTTCATACCTGTAATCCTAGCACTTTGGGAGGCCAAGGCAGAAGGATCACCTGAGCCCAGGAGTTCAAGACCAACCTGGGCAAAATAGTGAGAGCTAATCTCTACAAACAAACAAACACACACAAAAAATTACTGAGCCGGGTGTGATGATGCATGCCTACAGTCCCAGCTACTCAAGAGGCTGGGGTGGGAGGATCACTTGAGCCTAGGAGTTCGCCACTGCAGTGAGCTATGATGGCACCACTGCACTCCTGCCTGGATGACAGAGTGAGAACCTGTCTCAAAAAAGAAAAGAAAAGAAAAGAGAAAAGAGAAAAAGGAAAAAGGAAAGGAAAGGAAAAAAGAAAAGGAAAAGAAAGAAGGAGGGAGAAAATAAGTGTCTCTACATAGAATATGTGACTAAGAATGAAATAGAAATAGGGAACGTTTCCATTGATCTATTCTGTTGAGCAGTTAGTTCATGAAGGTATCAGAAGGAGGAGGAAGGAAGAGAAGACAATGATGTTGCTGGCCAAGTAACAGCCTGGACGAAGGGACAATCAGCATTAATGGCAAAGGTGTAATCAAGAAGGAGGGCACATCTGGGCTCCCTGTGAACACATGTGCCTTCCCATTATGAGGGCATCACACACCACCACCACCCCCTTCCTTAAGAGGATGCTATGGAATAAATCACTTGTCTTTGGGATTAGATTTTAATACATGTCTGAGTCTCTAGCCTAGATATTAAAAAAAAAAAAGCAGAAGGGAAGGATATCAAACATGCAGTATCTCCCAATAAACCAATTCCCTGATAAACACTGGCAGTGCTTTAAGTTGGGTACTGCATTTGGTAGGAAGAGGACAATAGAAACAAATTTATGAAGCATTGAGACAATAAACAGAAAAGTGATTTCCTAATCAATAAGACAGCGCAGTGTAGAACTACCTGACGGATTCAGTCATCCAGTCCTGAGAGAGCTCAGAAAGGATCCACAGCTCCAAATGTTTCCCTCCCCTGTGAGGTACTACTTAAAGAACCACAGACCCACCGATAGGTCATCTGGAGAGCAAAAAAAGTATGCAAAGGGTGACAAGTGCTATCATTATAGGGCTAGGTCAGAACAATTAATCTCTTATTAAAAACTGAGATGCTTAAAAGATCTCTTAAGAAGGTGCCACTGGGCTGCTCAAAATAAGAGCACAACCCAAGAATCAGGAAAAAATAAGTCTGGCAGGAAATAGGGGAAAAAGACTCTTTCTCATAGTCCTAGGAAGAGAAAGATTTGTGAGGAAAAGGAACAGAAGAAGTAAAGTGGGAAGGAAGAGGGTGGCCTCACAACATTCATTAAGGTAGAAATGACTATAGATTTTAAACTTTATGAGCTAGACAGATAGACGGATTTAAGTATGTGTAAATCACAAGACTATTATTATGCCTATGTAATAAATGTGTACTTCTCTTGCCATTAATGCATTACTCTAGTTATTGCAATCAAAATTTCATTGTCCAGGAAATGTTTTAAAGCAAGAAATTGTATGAAAGCTCAGCTTGTCTAAGATTATCTTCCTCTCTGCCTTTAATGACTACAGTATCTTATGTACAGTATCTAAGGCAAAAATAACAAGCAGATGAACAGCAGTCCCCCTTTTTTTCTTGAAGAACAAAAACAAATCAGTATGACAACATGATGTGGATTCAGTTAGCACTTGGCAGGTCATGAATAACTTTTAAACAACCTCCTTTTAAGTTGGAAAGTGTAAAAATATACAGTGATCATGGCACCAGAGTGCCTTCCTTACAATATGCCGACAGGCAGAGATGTTCATCTGAAGAGCTAAGTCTTACTTACAAAGGAGGGAAACAGAACATTGCTTCTTGGGCCACTACTGGGCTCTACAACATTTCCTTGTCCCAAGGGTCTTCCTCCTAGAGTATATTCAAAACCAATTTGAAATCTCCCTCTGATTTGCAGAGGTTTCTACATAAGTATGGAGGGAAAGGAAAGAAAAAAAAAAGTTGGTGCAATCATTTTGGAAACAGATAAATGATAAATATGGTAAAGAAAACGCTACTGAATTGTTAAATATTCTCATAACAGCAAGGCAAATGGCATAATTCTATACCCCGTTGGTTAGGGCAAGCAAAGTATCTTGTTTCAAATCAACAAGAAAAGTCCTAAAGAACAAAAACTATTAATTGGATAAGTAAGAACAACCTAGGGCTAATCCTAGAGAGTATGGTGAGACTAGTGGTCAGGCAAGCATGCCACACCAGTGCATCTTATCTTGGTTTTAATGAATGGACACCTTTCTGGGAAGGGAGAACTTCATAAGCACTGAAACACACCCTCTATTCTGAAAACTCCAATTACACCCAACTGTGCAAAGCCAGGTGCATGTGGCTTCACCGGTTTCACAGCCTGACTAGTGCTCATTTCTTGAGGACTCTCTGACAGTTGCTAAGGGGAATGGGCCTCATGCCCCAGAATGTAAAATATGACATGGGAAATATCAGTCAGATTTACGGCTCCACTCCATGTGTCTTGCATATTACTATGATCTGTGCAAGACATTTGTTGTAAATAAGCCTGCAGAATGTACAGCATGTTTTCCAGGAGACCTTTAAAGAACAGCTTGCAGACAAGAGGTGCTAGCCTTAGTTTCGCAGCCAGCAAAACTCCATCCAAGAGGCTGCTGGCATGTCCCCACCTCTTGTTTCGAGCTGGCTTCAAGACAACGTCACCAACCCAATTCCAAGGGTGAGTACCTGGAGTTAGTGACTGTGAGGTATTCCACACGAATAGTAAGTGGAAACTCAGACATTTAGATTAACATTTAGAAAAGACCCACTTTTCCCATAAGAGTGTATTAAAAACAACTGAGAGCTGACTTTGCAATGAGACATTTGCCGTACGTAGTAAATTAAATGGCTGAAGCTTGTGCTTCTTCCAGTACGAGAAGGAACTGTGGTTCATCATAACCCAGGGTGTACAATCACCGACGCTCATTTTTAAACCTCCCCTGCTTCTTACAAAGCCCGCTCCATTAAAAAAAAAAAAAAAAAAAAAAAAAAACTTTTCAGGAAATGAAATGCAAATGGGCAAAGAATAGGATCATACAATGGAGAGCCTCTATCAACCTCTTAAAAAGAAAATCTTTCTAGGCAGCCGGACTGCTTTTAACACGCCATAAGCTTTTATAAAAATGAGATAACATTGGTTCTTTTGTGATCGTCCTCAACCCTTTCCACCCTTTCACTCTCCAGGCTGGTCGGAGCATGTTCAGGAGACCGAACAGAGCAGGTGAAGTGGTCAGCTCAGCTCCACCTCTCCCCTGGCAAGTGTAAGGCAAATCATTTAACGGTATCACATATTCTAAGCCTGATGGATGGAACACAGAGAAGGAAAAAGGGAAAGAAGGGCGGGAAGGCAAAGCTTCCGATTTTTTTCAAAGGTAAAGCTCCGGTACTTGAGCTGTGTCTGAAACTGCCTCTGATCATCTTCAAAACAACTCCTTGGGATTTATCTTTAACTTGATGCTGCCTGTCCTCGCTCAAGGTGGAGCTGAAACCAGTTGCGAAATTTCCCTCTGCTGGAGTCCAGAGGATCCAAGAAAATGGGGTCTAGGCTTCTAAGTCGGAAAGAAGCAGAGGTTTCCCTGCGGCTCGGTGGGGCCCGCGCTTCCAAGCCAGAGTAGGCGCCGGGAAGGGAGAGGAGGCGCCTGGTGAGCAGCCTCGGGCCAAGTGCTCATCCCGGCTGGGCACTGCAGGCGCGGTTAAACTGGGATGGTGCACGCCGCTCTCCCGAGCTCCAGGGCTGGCTGGGACCTCGGGCTAAGGACGCCCGAGGGGTGCCAAGCTAGGCGCAGAGCGAAGGGACTTCAGCATGGGTGTTCCTCCCCTAAGGGAAAAGACACCCTCTCTGTTCAAGCCCACCCTACAGACACTCCCATCACCTGGCCCCTCTCCCCAGGAACTCTCCGACATCGCTATGGGCGCTAACTCATGACCAAGCTCGGCTTGAGAGGAAGTGGAGAGGAGAGGGGAGAGCGAGATTGGAGTGAAGACCGGGCTACTCCAGTCTGCAGCAATTGGGGAGGGCTTGGAAAATGGAGCAGGCAAGGAGGGTCCAGGAAAACGGTAGGGGCCCGGGTCACAGCCACCTGTAGGATTGCGGCAGATCGCAAACTTGGGTTGGAAGGCTGTGGTCCCCTCGGAGTCCTCCACTCGGCTCCCATCCGGTTGGGCTTGGAGCGCCGAGGTGCAGGGCGCAAGTTGGGAAGCCAACGCCATCGGTGCAGGTCCCGCTCCGTCAGGCTGGCGCCCCTGCGCCCTCGCCCCCAGCTGCCCGCTCCGCCCAGCGCTTACCTCGGGCAGCCGCGGTCCCTGCCGCCCAGAAGCACAGCCCCAGCCACGGGAGCCAGCGGCGCGCCCCTCCGCCGCCGCCTGCGGTGGCCGCCGCTCTCCCCATGCTCCTCGCCGCGTTCCGGAGGGCGGCTCTTCTTCACGCTCCGGGAGCCCGGGAAAGGGTCGGCGATGAGGGTCCCGAGTCGAATGGGTCTCGGGAGTCTTCAGAGAGTGACTCTGCTCCACGATCGCTTCCTAAAGCAGCGGGGCAGGGAGCTCCGAGCCGCCGCTGAATGGGCACCCCGAGAAAGGGCGCGTCCCCATAGCTTCCCACGGCGCGGCGACCGCTGCCGCCAGCGCGGATGCCGGAGTCGCCCGCAGTCCCCGCCGCGCAGTTCCCAGCCCTCGCGCCGCTGCCGGGCCCCGAACTACGGAGCGGAGGCGAGAGTCCGCATCGCTAATGAGACCCCCGCAGCCGCCCCTTCCCCTCCCCTCCGAGCGGCAGCCAATGAGCCGGGCTGGGGCGGGGCCGCGGGAGGGGCGGTGACGCGGCGGCGCTGGGCTGGGGCCCGGGAGGCGCAGGTGAGCCAGAGGCCGCTCCACGTGCCCCCGGGGCGCTTCGGGCCCCGCCTGCAGCTCCCCCCCCCGCTCGCGGAGAGAGGAAGCGGGCTGGGAGTCGGGCGGCGGGGATGCGGCCACGCCGCGGGGAGCTGAGCGGAGCCGGCTGGCCTCTTGGGGCGAACGCCGCACAGATATGTGGGCATCTCGGTTGCCTAACTCAGTCACCTGCTTCCAGGAGACCTCCGTTTTGTTCATCTACTTTGAGCCCTTCTAAAGTCCTGCCTCTCCTACTTCCACTTTTTCCCATTAGATCAGACATCACTCAGGAAAACATCCTGAGAAAAAGAAAGACTTAAAATAAATGCGTAGTGGGAAAAAATAATAATGGAGTTACTCCATTGCTGCAACTATGCTAACTTCATTCATATAAATAAAGAAGTGGGGAATAACAATCATGGGTGCATTAAGGCTTGTATAATCGATTTTTATTTTTGCTTTCTTTTTTTTTCGAATTCCCTATTCTGTTGTCCTGAACACTCCGGAATCCCCAAACTTTTCAGAAGCTCCCTCATTTCGAATGGCTCCTATTTTTGTCAGTTTTAATCTGAGCCCAAGGAATTGCCTTCTGGTAAGTATCAGGGAAAGGAGTGTCGACTTAAAAAGGAAGAAGGTGAGGCGAAATTAATATAAGTAAGAGTTTATTTGGGCCAAGTGTGAGGATTGCAACTCAGGAGTATAGATTTAAGTTGTTTTGAATATATATTTTGATTAGTAGTAGTTATAAGTGGATTCTTAAAGGCAAAAAAAAGGGGGATGGGGAGTGGACTGATGTAACATTGTTAGGAATTTATACTGATTTATTGAAATAATGTCGATTAGTGATTAGTTATATATAGTTAAGTCATAGGATGTGGGTTATACTGTTTGATGTGGTATTATTAGGTTAATTTATAGCTATTTGTAGTAATAGTATGTAGTTTTAAGAAATGAATATATAGTTTAAAGGAAGGAGTAGGGCATGATTGTGGTCTCATTCTAATGTCTCTCTGGGCCTGACAATTAAAAGGACTTTGAAACGCGCTGGACTTTTATAAGAAGAAGGAAAGAAGACTCTTTTTTTTTTTTTTTTTAAGTGTGGCTTGTTTTAGATAGATTATCAAATTTTTATTTAACTGCTTTCGAAAATACCTCACGGTTGCCTCTTCCCTCTGCTGGAGGAGTAACTTTAGAGAGCTTGTCCTAGGTCACTCAATTTCAGAGCACACCCAGGAAGTTGGTGGGGAGTCCCAGGCTCCCCAATTGGACTACCTCATTATCGCTGCCAGGATCGAGTCCTCAAAATGGCAGCAGAGCTCACCTTTTGCCTGGTAATCCCCCATAGAAAAGGGAGCCTTGGTTTGAAAGGCAACCTTCCCAGCAGTTCCTCACTACCCACGCTCAACATCAAGTACTTTTCAAAAATCCATGTCTCCCGCCAATGTGCTACCTGCTCCCAAACGCCTTTCTCTGAAGAATAAACAGTTTAAGGTGAGGTAATTGTTCTAGATGAGGTAATTGCACTAACTCACTTTCTTCCGAGGAAAAGGAAGATAATAGGCAAAAAAGATTGATTCTCTGATAAGCACTTTTGTGCCAGCCCTCTCTTGAGTGCCACCAGACACGTGAATGTCTGTGCAAGAAGCCGATTGTTTCCTCCGGTCGCCTTGCGGCTCAATAAAAGGTTTGGGACCTAGTCAAGAAAACCAAGCTCTGGGGAATGGATGCTTCAAAGCAAAGACTGATGTGGGGCTGGCTAGGGACTTGCCTGGAAATCTCTTTAGAATCTTGGTAAATGAGGGTTTTGTCCTTTTCTGCTTAGAAGGTGAATTGAGAATTAATCTACCAAATATGCTTTACCTGTCTTCTGGAAAATAGTCATTCATCGCCTGACTTTCCTTATTCTTCAGGACTATGTGGCAGTTCTGTCACAAATGAGGATTTTCTTAGAACAAAAAAGGAAAAAAGAATTACTATGTGTCCAAGATACTATTTAAGTCTTTCTACTGACCCACTGGGGGCAAAAATAAAATCAGTTTTATTTCAAAATGGGATATAAGTAATAGATAAGCTAATTTTAGGTTAATAATTCAAGTAAAATTGCAATGACAAATGAGAGTGAAGGGGGAAATTAATAACCTTTTAGTGTATACCATGCTCAAGGATTGAGTCTCTCATGCAGATTATTATTTTAAAGCAGAACCAAACCCTGCAAGGTAGGCGTTATTATTCCTATTTAGCAAGTGAGGAAAGTCAGATTGAGTTTAAAGGTGATTTGCCCAAGATCACATTAGTAAGTGGCTGAACGTCATGAATGATATACTAGTTTGTGTAATTTTAAACCCAAGATGAAGGCTGAGGTAGCATCCATTCAATCAGGTTTTCCAGAGATAGACTTTCCACCTCATCCTCCTCAGAACTGTTTAGATACCGGGTTGACAGAAGTTGAATCTTTAGTATTATACACACTGTATTAATTGCACATCACTATTATGTTTCAGATGGTAATATACCCTATATTAATCTAATCCTGGCTATTTTTTAACATGTGTGAATTGTACTTTATTCCATTATGGAGAAATATGTATATCTATTTGGAGAAATAAGTTGAGTAGTTGCTACCCAGGATCACTGTCTCTGGCCAAGAAACAGCAGGATGTAATAGAACTTTCGTGAGATTCAAGACAGGCAGAGGCTAGGCGCTGACACTATCAGGGACTGGTTAGATAGCCTCGGCCAAGTCAAGATCTCCTATCTTCTCTTCTATAAAATGAGAATGTTTGACTAGATGATTTTAAGATCACTCCTATTTTAGGAGCCATCAATTTTAACTCTACCATGTTATAATTTTGAATACCCAAAATTCTCAACTCATGATGATTCTGTCCCCATGACCTAATCATCTCTGAAAGGCCTCGCCTCCTAATATCATCACATTGGTGATTAGGTTTCAACATATGAATTTTTGGGAGAGACAAACATTCCAACCATAGCACCAGGTAATATTGATTCAATGAATAGACTTTATGAAGTGTTTTTCTCAATTATTTGTAGTTTGAATTGACTACACCCATTTTCTAACACTCTACCCATAAAGATAAAGAGGTAGAAAGCTTCTACTTCCATTGCCATTTGATCATCTCTAGCCCGGCAAGTTCCAAAAAATAGAAAATATTTAAGTCAAACTTGGAGGAGAGGACTTACAGATTGAGCATGGATAGATGAGCCCTTCCACATATAATAAGTATTTTTTTAAGCAGTTTATTATAATTCCTTAGGAAGAGCTCTATGTTATTATGGAACACATTGTTTTACCAACATACATGGTATAAGAGCGTAAAACTTCAAAAGACATTAAAGAATGTAGAAATATTCTACGTGATTAAGGGAAAGAATTTGTAGTTCTAGGAGATGGGGAAGGCAGAGGAGAGCCAAGTAATTGGTGAAAAGCCAAGCCTGCTAAGATATGGCCCTCCTCCTTACAGCTGCAAATCATCATTAAGGTTATGGAGGTGATAGAAATCCTAATGAGAAATGGTGAAGGGATTGGACAGGCACACCTCATTTCATGGGGCTTCACTTTATGGCACTTTGAAGATTCTGTGTTTTTTACAAATTGAAGGTTTACAGCAAGGCTGCATTGAGAAAGTCTATCAGTGCCGTTTTTTTCCAGGCACATGTGCTCACTTCATTTCTCTGTGTCACCTTTTAGCAATTCTCCCAATAATTCAATCTTTTTATTATTATTATATCTGTTATGATGATCTGTGATCAGTCATCTTTGCTGTTGTTGTAATTGTTTTGGGACTCCATGAACCATGCTCATATAAGACAGCAAACTTGATTTACCAATGCTGTGTGTTTTCTGACTGCTGCACTGACTAGCCATTCCCCTGTGCCTCTCTCCTTCTCTCACTGCCCTTTCTCTCTCTCTCTCTCTGTCTCTTTTTCTGTCTTTCTCCTTAGGCCTCCCGATTCCTTGTGACTCAAAAACATTGAAATAGGTAAATTAATAAAATCAAATGATAGACACAATTAAGATAGCGATGAATGCATGTTGAAGCCAAGATAAGCCAAAAGCTATGTGTCTTGTGCCAAACAGTTAGCCAGCTTTTCAATGCAAAGGAAAAATTATTGAAGGAAATTAAAAGTTCTACTCCAATGAACCCATAAATGACAAAAAAGCAAAACAGCCTTATTGCTGATATGGAGAAAATTTGAGTAGTCTAAATAGAAGATCAAACAAACCATGACATTCTCTTAAGCTAAAGCCTAATCCAGAGTAAAGCACTAATTCTCTTCAACTCTATGAAGTCTGAGAGAGATGAGGAAGCTGCAGAAGAAAAGTTGGAAGACAGCAGAGGTTGATTCATGAGGCTTTATGAAAGAAGCCATCTCCATAACATAAAAATGCAAGATGAAGCCACAAGTGCTGATGTAGAAAGTGCAGCAAGTTATCCAGAAGATGAGCTAAGGCTCATTGATGAAGGTGATTACACTATACAATAGATTTTCAATGTAGGTGAAACAGCCTTCTATTAGAAGAAGATGCTACCTAGGACATTCATAGCTGGAGAGGAGAAGTCCATACCTGACTTCAAAGTTTCAAAGGACAGGCTGACTCTCTTTTTAGGGGCTAATGCAGCTGGTGACTTGAAGTGGAAGCCAATGTTCATTAACCATCCAAAAATCTTAGGGCCCTTAAGAATTACGCTAATTTTTCTCTACCTGTGCTCTATAAATGGAACAACAAAAGCTAGATGGCAGCATATCTGTTTACAGCAAGTTTTTTTTTTTTTGTGTGTGTGTGTGTGTGTGTGTTTATTTTTATTTCTTTTTTTGAGACAGAGTCTCACTCTGTCACCCAGGCTGGAGTGCAGAGGTGCAGTCTTGACTCTGCAAGTTCCACCTCCCTGGCTCAAGGGATTCTCATGCCTCAGCCTCTGGAGGAGCTGGGATTACATGCACACACCACCACACCCAGCTAATTTTCTGTAGATTTAGTAGAGATGGGGTTTTGCTATGTTGGCTAGGCTGGTCTCTAACTCCTGTCCTCAAGTGATCCACCTGCCTCGGCCCCCCATTACAGCATGGTTTGCTAAATATTTTAAGCCCACTGTTGAGACGTACTGCTCAGATAGAAGATACCTTTCAAAATATTACTGCTAATTGGAAACACAACTGATTATCCGAGAGCTCTGATAGAGATGTACAAGGAAATTAATGACTGTTGACACAGTATCTTCAGCCCACAGATCAAGGCTAATTTTAACTTTTAAGTCTTATCATTCAAGAAATACATTTTCTAAGACTATGACTGCCATATACAATGATTCTTCTATTGGATCTAGGCAAAGCAAATTAAAAACCCTCTGGAAAGGATTCACCATTCTAGATATCATTAAGAATATTCATGATTCATGTAAGGGGGTTAAAATATCAACATTAACTGGAGTTTGGAAGAAATTTATTCCAACCCTCATGGGTGAATTTGAAGGGTTCAAGATTTCTGTGGAGGAGGTCACTGCAGTGTGGTGAAAATAGCAAGAGAACTAGAATTAGAAGTAGAACCTGAAGACATGCCTGAATTGCTGCAATCTTGTGATAAAACTTGAACTGATGAGGAGTTGCTTCCTATGTGAGAGCAAAGAAGGTAGTTTCTGGAGATGGACTCTAGTCTTCTTGAAGATCATGTGAACATTGTTGAAATGATGACAAAGGATTTAGAATTTCCCATAAACTTAGTTGATAAAGCACCAGCAGGGTTTGAGAGGACTGACTACAATTCTGAGGGAAGTTCTACTGTCAGAAAAATGCCATCAAACAGCTGAGGAGAAATCTTTCATAAAAACATGTCAATCAATGTGGAAGACTTCATTGCTGTCTTATTTTAAGAAATTGCCACAGCCACCCCAACCTTCAGCCACCACCACCTGATCAGTCAGTCAGCTGCCACCAACACTGAGGTAAGACCCTCCACCAGCAAAACGATCATGACTCAGTGACAGCTTGGATGATCCTTAACATTTTTAGCAATAAAATTTAAAATTAAATTTAAATTTAAAATTAAGGTATGTTAGACATAATGCTATTTTATACTTAATAGACTACAATATAGTGTAAACATAACTTTATGTGTGCTGGGAAACAAAAAAAAAATTGGTGTCACTTGCTTTATTGCAGTCATCTGGAACTGAACCTGCAATATCTTTGAGGTATGCCTGTATTTTGAGTCTAGATTACTGAAGATAAAACAGACACTCAGAAAAGATGAAAAATACCTTAGACATAAAAACATTCAAAAAGTATGGAGAAACTTTTTGATTATGCTAAATCATAGACTAGATTCTTTTAGAAGCAGAAAGCCCTTCATTCAAAATATGTACCAAAGCAAGAGGTCAGAAGTCAGTGAGATTGAGTCCTTTGGGAATAGAACACATTTACTGGTCATTAGAAATACAAATCAAAACCACAATGACGTGACAGTTAGAATGGCAATCATTAAAAAGTCAGGAAACAACAGATGCTGGAGAGGATGTGGAGAAATAGGAATGCTTTTACACTGTTGGTGGGAGTGTAAATTAGTTCAACCACTGTGGAAGACAGGGTGGTGATTCCTCAAGGATCTAGAACCAGAAATACCATTTGACTCAGCAATTGCATTACTGGGTATATGCCCAAAGGATTATAAGTCATTATACTATAAAGACACATGAACATGTGTGTTTATTGCGGCACTATTCACAATAGCAAAGACTTGGAACCAACCCAAATGCCCATCAATGATAGACTGGATAAAGAAAATGTGGCACATATACACCAAGGAATACTATGCAACCATAAAAAAGGATGAGTTCATGTCTTTGCAGGGACATGGATTAAGCTGGAAACCATCATTGTCAGCAAACTAACACAAGAACAGAAAACCAAACACCGCATGTTCTCACTCATAAGTGGGAGTTGAAAAATAAGTGGGAGAGAACACATGAACACAGAGAGGGGAACATCACACACCGCGGCCTGTCAGGAGGTGGGGGCTAAGGGAAGGATAGCATTAGGAGAAATACCTAATGTAGATGACGGGTTGATGGGTGCAGCACACAACCATGGCATGTGTATACCTATGTAACAAACCTGCACGTTCTGCACATATATCCCAGAACTTAAAGTATAATAAAAAATTAAAAATATAAAAGCTATACCTGAAAGGGAGAGAAGATGAACATGTGAACATTGAAAAAAGACTTAGGGGAAGAAGAATTGAAAATAAGTCCACAATGCATTTGTACATCATAATTTACCTAACCTTCTGGACTGAATGGGGAGTTTTAGCTATGAGTACTGTAAAAATCTTTCTTAATGTTGCTGGGGTCTTTTAAAGTTGCACACAGTTCCTCTCCTGGGCATGAGCAACAGAGGCAATCTTCCCATACTTGGAATGCTAACATTGTAGCTTTCCTTTCCTTGAAACTGATGACTATCTCTGAAGACCCAACTAACAATTTATTTCTGGCTCTGTTACCTCCAGATGTTTCTTATAAAAGCCCCTGTCTCTATTAATCATCTAATTATGATAATAAATAAAAGAAAACAAAAGATCAATTGTACAAAAGGGCAACAGCTGGCAACTTCAATTGGTGAACTTGGCAATGCAATTCAAAAGATATTCCACAATATCCATTGGGATATTCCCAAGTATTCCATTGGGAATACTCCATGCCAGTCATTTTCCCAGGATGGTCTTGTTCAAAAGTGGCACATTTTAGAAGTGCATGTGGCTTACAGAGAGCATGCTGAATTTTATTCACCATGGTGTGTGCTCACAGCCCAGCTCAAGATTCATGAACCTGCTGGAAACGGGAGAAAAATGATGTTAAAAGCTGGGGAGCTGCAGGTGCTTCACATGTGATGTTCTATCTGTGTACAGTAATCCAGGTTAACAACCTTCCCTGTTAAAGGCAATATGGAATCGTTTATTAAGTAAACTCTCTCTCACACACAAAATTAGAGAAGTCTATTTTAGAGATTGGTCTATGAAGCAGCAATAAAGTGCAAAAATCCAATACATTTGTTTAAAAGGGCAGCAGGGCACCAAGATACGACTTTAACTAAAAAGGTTTTCCTGACACTGCAAGTGTGCCTTGACCATTTTGTACACTGGGAATTCTTCCTAGAGCAGGCATCTTGGAGTTCAGCTGCAGCTACTGACACAGACGAATGAAAGAACTTAAAAATAATAACAAGGAACACAATTCTTTGACAGTAAAATTAATGTGATAGTACTTTTAAAAATAATAAACTGTGGTGAGAAAAGGTGAGATGTGTTAACTCATAAAAGATGTAGCCTCTGATGACAGCAGGACATGCAACCCCTGAGTTACCTTACCTAGGCATTTAGCATCAGAAATGTGACAATTACACATCCCAGCACTTGTAGGTCTTTACAGTAACCCAGCAATAGCCTGATGTCCTTCCATTTTGAGAGAAAATAGTAGGATTCTTATGGTCAAATAGAAATGCTGTCATATCTTTATGGGGTGTGTATTTGTGTCGAGTTTTTACAGCCTAGTTTTGTCTTTATTTACTCTTTCCACATTGCACCTTTGAATATCATTCATTCATTTACCTCTCTTTATCTACTCTGGTAAGCTCTATGCCTCTTGGTGCATAGAGAGAATGAAGGAAGAGACAGCCAAAGATAACTAAAGTGCATTTGTAGTTCTTGAAGGGTTCAAAGTCATATGACTGCCATGTATCCTCCACTAGACCACACAGATAAGCCAAACAGCTCTCCAAATAGAACAAGGCTGAAGGAGGCCTGAGAAGATGATTGCCCTGCAGTTTCTGGTCAGGAACAGAATCAAAAGTCAAAAATGTGACAAGTGAAAGAAACTCATATTCAAATGTCTGTATCCTCTCATTAATATGAGATTCACGGATGTTTGATTTCTCTGTAACTGTCAAATCCATGCAGAATAAATTGTTAGGGGGAAGTGAGCTTGATGCAGAGTTTCCAGAATGCAGACATGAGTAGGGTCAGCCCATATATTTTTACATGATAACTATCCATCTTACCTTAGACTAAGGACTTAGGAATGGATGGGTGCAGTTGGGGAATATCTGAATGTTAAAGTTGGAGACCAGGAAAAAATACATTTCCTGTCTGGAATACCAGAACCAAAAGAAAAAAGAGCTATCCGGCCTCTTGAACAAAATGTTACAAATGGAGTATGTATTCACGAAGTTGCCTATATAATTATGAATTAATCTAACAGACTTTATAAGAAGCCACTTGTAAAAATGACATCTAGAAATCACTAAGCAAAGAAAAATATGATTTGTCTGCAAGGTGGAATAAAAGAAGTAGGCATATAAGTTGTCTTTCTATTTATTTTTTATTTTCTGCTTGTCTTCGTTTCCTTCCTTTTTTCTTCTTTTCTGTTGACTTATCTTCTGGAATAAGATATTGTAAATTAATCCCTGTAACTAAAATAAGGATGACATCTTCAGCAGTCCTTTAAAGCAGGACTTAAGTAGCTGTTACATGATTCCAATTGAAGATGTGCAAAGAAAAGATGCTAGCTTAACAAACAGACTCTTCTTTAATTTTTAAATAAAGCGTTGACTTTTCTGGCCCAAATCTTATACCTGCTTCTTTTTCTCCATCTTACAGCAAAAATATTGAATTTATAATTTGTTATATCTTAAGGCTCAGCAAGTAGATTTAAAAGCATTCATTAGTAAATGACTGTCATGCATTCTGAAGGGGAAAAGATCTGCTTTACATGTTAAGTAGTATTTTACTGAAAATAAAATTTAAGAGAGTACCATTTGCAATTTAATTCAACCAAATATTCCACTTATCTTCTCAGGTATAAGGATGACTTTATCCCAATTCAAGTACCTGCTTTCCTAGAGACCAACAATCTAGGTCTAGAGATGGTGGAGATCACTAAAAGGTCATGATCATTATTAGTGCTTTAGTAAGAAACTATCCAAGCAGAAAATCATGGTAAAGTTCCTTAGATTCTCTTGCGCTCAAACAACTGACAATATATTTCCCTACTGAGAAGAGAAAGCAGATTACACACATACACACATACACACATATGTACATTCTGGGTAGATGCACCAGTTGACCCATAGAGCTATAGATACATATATGTTTATATACATACAGTATTGTGTGTGCATGTATATGAGTATATGTGAACTGGTGCATCTACGTAAAGAGAGAGAGAGAGGAGAGAGAGAGAAACAATAAGTAAGATATTTGAAGGTATCCTTTAAGGCTCTGAGAATAAAGAAATGACTTCTGACCAGGGTGACCTAGTAATTTTATACATTAACTAATCTTTATCCACTTACACATGTAGGAACAACAGATAACATATAAAAAAGGAAACTTGACACACACACAGCCTGGCTCAAATTCAAGATAAATATCTGCATGGATCATCAACAGAACAGAACTGCTAAATGGTGAGTTGGGATAAATCCAGGGACTTTCTGGGATCTGGCTTTTGAAGCAGGCAGTGGGGTAGGGGGTCTGAATAATGCAGTGCAATAGGGAATTAAGAGCTCTACCTCATATGTGATACCACAGCCAGTTGCACAGCTTGAAGCAGAGATTGGGATGGAATGACTCAACACAAGAGGACAGCCTGAAAGAAATGCAGTCAATCTATGGCTGCTATTTAGAGAAGCAGGAACTACAAGGCCACAACTTCCTTACTGGTAACTGAAACTAATCATACACTGGCTCAAGGAGTATGATTTCTCACAATAATACTACTTCTCAGAAGTTGTGAATGACTTTTATAAGACCTATTTTTGGACTTGGGGCCCTGGGTTTAGATGGGAGGCAATCTAAAGAATGGTAATCACAGAAGGAGAGAGATGATATGGTGATATGGTAGGGAGAGAGAGGCAGAAAAGTAATTATCTACCTTCAAGTGACCATACTAAATAATATCCTAAACACTTGAATATAATATGATGCTTAAAAATGCAGAAAAATAAAATCAACATTTGAATATCAATCCACTCTTCATTTAAAAAATCATAGACCTTAAAATACATTTATCTGGGATGCTCTAAGTATAAACAGAAGAAACATTTATTACATAATTATAAGAAGT
This sequence comes from Homo sapiens, assembly GCF_000001405.40. Lineage (NCBI taxonomy): Eukaryota > Metazoa > Chordata > Mammalia > Primates > Hominidae > Homo > Homo sapiens. Next base: position 35,224,170 of record NC_000008.11, on the reverse strand, counting down.
AAATTAAAAATCTAAACCAAACAAACTGAAATAAAACAAGTATTGGTGGATTTTCAAAAAGTAGAAATATTAGAATTGGATCATATGGTCACTGAAAAGTAATAAACACACAGCTCAAGGCTGACAAAAATGAAGAGAGAATTAGTTAATACTACGGAAATATAACACTGAAAATAAAACCCAGGGAAACGTCAGAATACAAAAACATTGCTAGTACAACTTCAAACCTGTAAAAGAAGTTAAGAGACTTTGAGACTATATTGAGATACTCTGATAAACATTTAGTAAGAGTTAAAGTATCATGAGAATGGTGGAGAAGTAGGTTTTTAATAAATGGAAGTAAAAAATTCAAGATTACAGACAGAAATAACTACTCACTGAAAAGCACACTCCAATTATTAAGTACAATATATACAAATAAATACGTGCTGGGCACAGTTATCCCAGGACTTTGGGAGGCCGAGGCAGGCAGATCACTTAAGGTCAGGAGTTGACCAGCCTGGCCAACATGGTGAAACCTCATCTCTACTAAAAATTTATAAATTAGCTGGGCATGGTGGTACATGCTTGTAATCCCAGCTACTTGGGATACTGAAGTGGGAGGATTGCTTGAACCTAGGAGGTGGAGGTTGCAGTGAGCTGAGGTCACACCACTGCACTCCAGCCTGGGTGACAGAGAAAGACTCCATCTCAAAAAAACTATTAAATAAATAAATACATAAATAAATCCACACAGCTACATATCATAGTGATGTCACAGAAAATCAAGGATTAAATCCTGTTAAAATTTATCAGCTATTTTTAAAAAATGGATATAACCTAGAAAGAAACAGATGACAACAGATTTTACAACTTTCACTGTGGATGGCTAAAGACTGTGGAATACTATCATCAGCATCTTCAAGTGAAATCACATATCGATGTAAAACATAGTGAATTAAATCTATAGTAAAAACAGTTAAAACAATTTTTCACACATAAAAGATTGATATGCTTTACCAAGTGCAGATAGATATGTTTTTAAATGATTAATATTTTAATAAATTACAAAAAAAATATTTCAGCAATTAACTAGAAAATCAAAATAATCCTAGATCTACTTTCTGAAACTAAGTAATATAATAATTGAAATTATGGGTTAAATTTATAACATATAGATGAACAGATAATTGGTGATATTGGTAATAGCCCAGAAGAAATATCCAGAAATGAAGCACTGAGAAATGAATAAACAAAAAGAAAGAGAGAAAGAAGCACAAGAGATATATTACATCTTGGAAAGGTCTAAATTTGGAATTTTAATATCAGAAGAAAAGAGAGTGAGCTGGTACAATATTTGAAGAAATAATGTCTGATTTTTTTATAAAATCAACGGAACTCATTAAGCAAAGGTTTAAGAACTGCTACAAAGCTGAAGCAGAATACAAAAGAATAACTAACCTAGGCACCTCAAGTAAAATTCACAAAATAAGTTGGAAAAGAAAAATTAAAAGAAAGCAGTAAAAACAAAGGAATGATAAATTAATGATGATAAACTGCTGACATCTCAACAAAATGATGGAAGTTATATGGCAATGGAATATTGTCATCAAAAGAGTGAAAGAAATGCCAATTAAAATTCCACATGCAATGAAAATACCTTTCAAAATGAAGCCAAAGTAAACATTTTCAGATAAACAAAATATGATGGAATCTATCATTGGAGGATCCAACTTAATTGAAGTACTTAAGGGGAGATCTTCAGGCAGAAGGAGAATGATACCATGTGAAAAGACATGTACAAAAATTTTTTAAAAAGCAATGAAAAGATGACATTTACCAAAACAAACATTGATTGTATAAAAAAATGAATATCATAATATGCTCAAAATATTAATAGATATATGACATTTTGAAATGGGCAAAACTAACCCATGGGGTTAAAAGTGAGCCTACCATTAGGGATGAGGGAGAGCACAGTGAATAAAGGAAGCAAATAGGAGAATTTTGTGGCTGCTGGTGCTGTCCTATTTTTTTCTTGTTTGAGTGATGTCTTCATGGTTATGTTCATTTTATGATAAATCATCAAGCTGTAAAATTATGATTGTTTTTGCTGTTTGTTATGTAATTTATACTTCCATAAAATAATTATTGTTTTAAAAAACTACACTGAGATATCAAAACATCAAAAAACATATGATAGAATGGGAATTTTTTGCAACTATGTGATCAAAGCTAGATAATGTTTCTAATAATGATATGTTTCTACATACTGATAACTAAAAGTAAAATAATTTGATAAATTATAGTAAAAAGAATTATCAAAAAAGAAATTGAAATGGAAAATAAACACAAAATAATAAATACATAAACACATAAAAAATGGAAAATAAACAAGTGATCAATTTCATTAATAGTATGGGAAATGCCAATTAACTGTATGTTATACCATTGTTCATCCTTAATTAGATATAATATAGAAATGGTGATAATATAAAGAAATGGTCACTATCATATTTTATCGATTGGAGTGTTAATTAATATAACTCTCTTGGAAACTTTTTTGGCAGTATATATTGTACTATAATCTCATATTGATAAATTTATTCTAGAAGTCTAAAAATTGTTGTATATAATTTACATATACTAAGCTGTTTACTATTTGTAGGGGCCAACAAAAGCAAAACTAAACTAAAATCTTTGTAAATCTCATATGAATATACATCTACTCAAGGAAAATTTGAATAAAGTGCAGTACATTTATATGGTGAAATATTATGTAACTATTAAAAAACATGTGATAAATTCACATGTATAGACCTAAAGGAATATCCATGTTATATTATTAATGCAAAAAAGTTAAGTCATGAGTAGTGTGGAGTGATCACATTTTATTAAAAACAAAGAACCACCACAAAAAATTTAAATATATAAAATATTTTTATATCTTTATAAGCATAGAAAAATGTGGAAACAAGATAGGAAAAGTTTGTGAGTGGGAAGAGATGACTAACTTCATTTTATGCATCTTCACATTATTCCACTAGATAAAATGAGCACGTATTTCTTTTTAGGTTCAAAATTTCACAATGGAAATTTAACCAAAAATTATTTCCAGTTGTAAAACTAGCATAATTCAAACATGTAAATGTACAATACACATACCAAATAAATCCTGTATGAATATAGCTACAAAGCTCTCAATGAAAACAAATGCATTGTATATGTGTATATATATGTATATATGTGTGTGTGTGTGTGTGTGTGTGTGTGTGTGTGTGTGTGTGTGTGTTTCTTATTTCATTCAGGTTACTCTAACAAAATACCACAGACTGGATCACTTGTAAACAACAGCAATTCATTTCTCACAGTTCTGGAGGCTGGGAAATCCAAGATCAAGGCACCAGCAGATTCAGGGTCTGGTGGGGGCCCATTTCCTCATTTATACACGGCACCTTCTTGTTGCATCCTCACATGGTAGAAAGAGAAGCAAATTATCTCGGGATTTTTATAAGGACACTTATTCCACTTTTGAGGGATCCACCCTCATGAACTCATTTTATCTAGTTAACCTCCCAAAGACCCCACCCCCTAATACTATCACACTGGGGGCTAGAATTTCAACATATGAATTTGGTTATGGGAAAGACACAAACATTCCATCCATAACAATGTATAAAATGTCTATATTGTGACCAAGTTGGAATTTTCAGAAAACTCCTTTAATTTCATTAAAAGAGTTTAAGACTAGAAAACTGTTGGGAATGGCAGTTTTGTGTGTGCAGTATTTTGACCCCTACATGGCTACCCAAGAGTAGACTTGGACTTGGAACATTTCCTTACAAAGAGAGAGCCAGCCCTTGCAACCAGTGCTGAGCATACTGCTTTGTTTGGGAGTATCTTTCCTTGTTACAGACTTGATGTATGTTTCCTTGTTCTGCTTAAAGATGTGCATTTGGCCAGGACAGTGGCTCATTCCCGTAATCCCAGCACTTTGGGAGGCCGAGACAAGAGAATAGCTTGAGGCCAGGAGTTTGAGATCATACTGGGCAAAATAGGAAGACCCTATTTCTACAGAAAAAATTTTTAAAAAATTAGCGAGGCATGATGATATGCACCTATAATTTCAGGTGCTTGGGAGGCTGAAGCTGAAAGATCACTTGAGGCCTGGAGTATGAGGGTGCAGTGAGCTAGGATCATACCACTGCACCCCAAAGTGAGCAATAGAACAAGATCTTATATGAAAAAAAAAAGTGCATTATATGGCCCTCAGACACACTCCAGCTTTCTGTATTTCAGATCCCAGAGTGAGGCATCAGGATTCTTTGCCTGCAATAGGAGATGGATACATGTAGACAATCACCCTGCATCAGCTGCAGGCCATGGGTGACTAACGCTCACCCTGAAGCTAATCTTGCTCTGTTTCTTCTCTATGGGAGTAAAGCCTTGTTCTACTCAGTGTCTACGTGAATCGTATCTTCCTTGGTGACCCCAAACCATGGAGTGTGTTGTCATCATGGGAATGCTACTCCTGGTGTAGCGGTCTTCTCCCCTAGAGGTAATTACAAGTGTCACTTACTTAACAGAAATATTATAGCTCTTGAATAGCTGAAACCTTGCAGTAATCTCAATAAGTGCTAAAAGGGCAGTTGCAGAGACCAAGGTGGGGGTGTTTCTTGAGCTCAGGTGTTCAAGACTAGCATGGGCAAAATAGCAACACCCTGTGTCTACTAAATATATATATATATATATATATATATATATATATATATATGTGTGTGTGTATATATATATATATATATGTGTGTACACATATATATATAGCCAGGCATGGTGGCATGTGCCTGTAGTCGCGCATAGTTGGTAGGCTGAAGTAGGAGGATTGCTTGAGCCTGGGAGATCAAGGCTGTAGGGAGAAATGATTGTACCACTGCACTCCAGCCTGGATGACATTGTCTCAAAAAAAGAAAATTTAAAAAGAAGACAGTCACTACATTTTGCATTTATTTGTGACTAAAAATTACTAAGCTATAAAAGTAGTACATTCTCATGATTGACAACTATTCCAAACCCAGAGCCAAAGTTATAATGCAAAACGCACGTCGTTCTCATTAAAACTGTGAATAAGCTAGAATGCGATCACTCTAATTATTTGACAATATTCTAGATGATTCAGCCATGACAAAACACTGTTTTAAAAATTATGCTTATCAGAGAGACCAGTGAACAAACGTTATTTATACATGTATAATTTTTTACTTAGAAAACTCCAGAACTGAACTCTAAAAAATTACTAAATTCAATATGAACACTTCATTTTATAGCACATAAAGAAAAAATATATATAAATGCTAGATAAAATATTACCAACTTGTTTTTAGTGCATAGTCAAGTTCCCATCTGTCTTAGTCTGTTTTCTGCTGCTATAACAGAACACCACAGACTGGGTAATTTATAAAGAACACAAGTTTATTTGGCTCACAGTTCTGGAGGCTGAAAAGCCAAGAACATGGAGCTATCATCTGGCAAGTGTCATCCCAAGGCAGAAGGGCAAGTGAGCATGTAAGAGGAAGAGGAAATGGAGGCCTAATTTATCTTTTACCAGGAACCCATTGCCGCCATCACTAACCCACTCCTGAGATAAAGGCATTAATCTGTTCATGAGGGTAGAGACCTCACAACCCGATCATCTCTTATAGGCTGCAGCTTTTTAATATTATTACCACGGCAATTATATCTCCAATGCTTGTGAACTTCTGAGAGAAATACTGCACCACAGGAACTTCAAATTGAGAGAAAAATGCTGAAGCCAAAAATAAAGATGTGGACACCAGAATGATAAGTTTACTCTGAAACTGGTTGTCCTGAGGAATTTAACAAAGTTTTAAACCTACAGACTTGCACTTGATTGCTAGCTCTGGGGACCTGAGGCAAATGTTGGGTCTTCAGAAGGAAAGGAATTGGACTTCAGATCTGCATAGAAACTGGGGACCCTTAAAGTAATACAACATGACTGAAATTGGGGACCAGCAATGTCCACTTATCAACAGAGGGACAATATCAGAAGATTCGTCTTTCTTATCCTGATATCTAGGTTTTAAAAAACAGTTTCTATTTTGAAAGTAACCTTCCTGTATATAGATTTGGAGGTCAAAATGATATTACCTACTTGGTTACAGAAAAATCCAAGAATTGAAATTACCTCATGCTAGATGTGCAGTGTCCCAGGATATAGAGCAGTAGGAAAACGATATCCTCTTTGGAGCGCTGTTGCTTGAACTCTGGGATTTTACACATAAAACCCAGACAAACATGAGTTTATAATTAAGTGTGACAAATACTAGCAACTAACCGCAATAAGCATCAACAGAATCAACAAGCTGAAGAATGACATTACTGAGAACTTCAGATATTGCAATATTTGTTTATAAAATTTAAATAAGCCTTTGCACAATATTTTAAAATTGAAATAATGAATAACAGGACAAGAAACAAGAAGCTAAATAGACACAAAGTACTAAATGGATCTTTTCCTTCAGGAAGTTTACAGGATATTCTGTATTAGGATATTCTATAACACAGCATGTCGTATTCTTTCCCATGTATCTATAATTCAGGACAAAATTGGTAGACAGGAGTTATTTCATAAGTGTTTGTAGTTGATAGAGTTGCCCCAAAACAGATAGAATCAGAAGGTGCATGACAGAATTCCTAAAAATAGAAATAAAAACAAAACAGAATTTAGTCCATAGAAATATTGTTTTATCTATTTACTTTGGTGGGCTGTAAAATCCAACAGGTGTTTCAGAGTATTCAACAACTGATATAGAAGACAAACCTCTGTCTATGAAAGCATGGAATGTCTATGAATCCTAAACAAAAGTATAAAACTAGATAAAAAGAGGAATTGCAGGCTCTGAAAATGAGAAAAAGTGTGGAAATGCAAGAAGACCAAATGAGTAGCTTAGAGGCAAACACAGTGGGAGCCTGTGAACTTTTTGTCTAGAGATGCTTCTATTCCTCCTCCCCAGCATGATTAGTGAGACTTGTAGCTTTACCAGCAAAATAATGAACAAAAATTCTGGCACCAAAGCCACCAGAGTGGCAAAGTTAATTTGGGGCAGGTGTGAAGTCTTGTAGCTTTATCAGCTTCCTGTGGTAAACTCAGTAGGAAAACTCCTGGAACTTCAATATTCTGAGATTGAGGTCACCATCATGGCAACCAGACAACCAGCCAGAAATTAATGGGAGATCATGGAATGGTGAGAACAATAAAAGTGTTGAGATAAGTTTTCTACGTATAACTGGATGACTAGGAATCTACATACAGGAGCAGAAAAAGACTTGCAAGAACCCAGTAAAAAGTAAAACTCAAGGGAGACAGGCAAACTGCCACCAAATTTGAATGTGCAACCTAAACCACAAACAGATCTATTTGTATCCAATGAAGGACTTAGGGGCTTCAAGGTATTTGAGTATAATCTTTTCCCAGATCATTGACTAATAGCTATGCAGACATAAGGGCAAACTCTAGGGAACCAGACTGAAAAAAAGACTGAACAGAAGCATCCTATGGTGGACAGATTTCACAGTTTAATTCAAGGCAAGATATTAAAAACAAAACACAGTAAAAAAAAAAAGTCAAAGAAAACCCGGGGATGTTGCTAAAATATGTTATTTTAAACATCAAATTCTTAGCCAAAAATTATGAAACACGCAAAGAAACAGGAATGTGTGACCTATACTCAGAAAAAAGACAGTCAATAGAAACTTACCCTGATTGAGCTCAGAGGTTGGAATTTAAAGTAGTTTACAAACTTAATCAAAGAAGTAAGGTAAGCATGTTTACAAGTTTAAATGAAAATATGGTAAATTGACTCAATAAAGAGAAAATCGAGTGCCAGTTGAGAAGTAGAAACTACTAATTAAAAAAGAACTCATTGGAAATAAAGTTGGGACAATACAGTTATAAGATATACAAAAAACAAATAACACAATGGCAAAAATAAGTCCCCGTCAGTAATTACTGTAAATGTAAATGAACTAAAATTCTCAGCCAAAAGACATAGATTGGCAGAATGGATAGAAAAATAGAATATAACATTATGTGGTATACAGAGACTCGCTTTAGATCTAAGGGCACATATAACTTGAAAGTGCTAAAATAGAAAAAGATAGTTCATGCAAATGGTAACTAAAAGAGAGCGGAGGTGGTTATACCGATGTAGACAAAATAGGCACTATGTCTAATATTGTTGTAGGACTGAATGAATTATATATTGATAAAAGGATGATCTCACCAAGATCATATGTACCGAACATCAGAGCTCCAAAATACATGAAGCCACATTGACAGAATTGAAGGAAGAAACAGCTCTAGAATAATTGTAAGAGACTTTAAGATGTCATTTGCAAAACTGATAGTGTCCAGCTCTCAGCAAAGAAGGTAGCGCCTTTTTTTTTTTTTTTTTTTAGACAGAGTCTCGCTCAGTGGTCCAGGCTGGAGTACAGTGGCATGATCTAGGCTCACTGCAAGCTCCACCTCCCAGGTTCATGCCATTCTCCTGCCTCAGCCTCCTGGGACTACAGGCGTCCGCCACCTTGCCCGGCTAATTTTTTGTGTTTTTAGTAGAGACGGCATTTCACTGTGTTAGCCAGGGTGGTCTTGATCTCCTGACCTTGTGATCCGCCCACCTCGGCCTCCCAAACTGCTGGGATTACAGGCGTGAGCCACTGCGCCGGGCCGGCAGCGCCTCTTTACAGAGAGAGGAGCTACCTTCTTTGCTGAGAAACTAACATTTGTTGAGACGACCTGCCTGAAGAGAGGAGCTACCCTGCCTACTAGGAGTTGAACACTGGTGGGGACACCCTGGCTGCAGGAAGGAGCTACCCAATGCTGGTGTCCTCTGAGCTGTTACATTGCTTAATAAAGCTCCTCTTCGTCTTGCTCATCCTCCACTTATCTGCATATCTCGTTCTTCCTGGTCACAGGATTAGAACTCAGGACGGGACGAATGGCAAGGCTAAAAGCTGTAACACAAACAGGGCTGAGACACGCTCCTTGCTCGCCAAGTTGCAGGCGAAGGGAAGGAAAGAAGAGCTGTGGCCCTTTAGGGAGCCCAGACCTGGGAGCTCCCCGAGCCAGGGCTATGACCCACTCTTTGGGGCCCTGCGGTTCCTGGCGTCTCCAAGCTTCTGGGGGCCACTGTGCTCCCTGGTGCCAGCTGTGGAAGTGCTTGCAGTGCGCCTGGTCCAGCTGCAGCCTTATAGAGAGCCTGCGCCCGGGTACGACCTAGAGCTTCCTACCCCACTGCAGCAACTGGCATGTCTGACTGCGCAGTGGCCGAACCCCAGGCTCACTCACAAACCCCTCACCACTCCACGCAGTCTCCCTTGGCAGGCGTGGGATTCAGGCCAGTGGCCTGAATTGAGCGCAGCCTGCCAGGCTGAGTGGGTGGAATGAACCCAGCGGGCCTGAGCAAGACTCAGGCAAACGTGCCAATGGCCACAGAGTTTTCTGGCCAGGTAAGCGACACCCCAAAGGTCCCATAACAAAGGGACAACCAGATAGAAGATGAATAAAAAAAAAAAGACGCCTTATACAACACTATAGACCAACTGGATGTAAAAGACATACAGAACACTCCACCCAGCAACAGCAGAGTACACATTTTTCTCAAGTGAGCATGGAATATTCTCCAGGGAAAGTGATATGCTAAGCCACAAAACAAGTTTAGTAAATGTAAAAATATTGAAATCATACAAAGTATCATTTTAAATTACAATAGAATAAAACTAAAAATTAATGGTTGAAGTAAAACTAAAACATTGCGAATATGTGGAAATTGAACAACTGACTCCTAAACAATAAATCAAGGAAAAAAAGTCACAAGTAAAATTGGAAAATATCTTGAGATAAATAAAAACACAATGTACCAAAACTTCAGAGATGAAGCAAAAACACTGCCGAAAGGGAAATTTATAGTTGTATCGCTAATAATGATAGCTAAACAACATAAACAATAGACAAACAATGGAGAAAATATCAGTAAAACCAAGAGCTGGTTATTTCAAAAGATCAACAAAATTGACAAACCTTTAGCTGTATTGACTAAGGAAAAAAAGGGAAGACTCAACTAAAAATAGAAATAAAAGTGAAAACATTATTACCGATGTTACAGAAATTTAAAAAAATTACAAGAGAATACTATGAACAATTGTATGCTAACAAATTAAATAACCTAGATGAAATGGACAAATTCTTAGAAACACAAGTTACTGTGACTCAATTACATAGAAATAGAAAATCTGAATAGATCTGTAACTAGTAAGAAGATTGACTCAGAAATCTAAAACTTCCCGACAAAGAAAAGCCCAGGACTACGTATCTTCACTGGTACATTTTATGAAATATTTAAAGAATTAGGACTAATCCTTCTCCAACACCACCAAACAAAGTAAAGAGGAGGAAATACTTCCTAACTCAGTACCTGAGACCATCATTAACCTGATACCAAAGCCAAAGCTCCTACAAGAAAACTACAGACCAATATATCTTAAGAATATTGATGCAAGAATCCTCAACAAAATACTAGCAACCTGAATTCAATGGTATATTAAATAGATCATGTACCTTTACTAAGTGGAATTTATTCCTGTTATGCAAGGATAGTTCATCATATACAAAATGTGATAAACAGAATAAAGGGGCAAAAGGTAATCATCTCAATTGATGCAGAAAAGTCATTTGACAAAATTTAACATCCTTTTGTGGTAAAAACAAAATAGCAAACTAGTAACAGAAGGAACCACCTCATTATAATGAAACACAGCTAACATCACATGCAATGAATGGTGAAAAACTGAAAGCTTTTCCCACCAAATCACAAACAAGATGAGGGTGCTATTTTTCATTACTTCAATTCAACGTAGTATTAGAATTTCTAAGCAATTAGGCATGAAAAATTAAAAATGTAGCCAAATTGGAAAGGAAGAAGTAAATTATCAGTTTTCACAGATAACGTGATCTAATACGTGGAGAATCCTAAAGACCCCCCAAAATCTTTTAGAACTAACAGACAAATTCAGTAAATTTGCAAGATAAAAAACCAACGCACAAAAATCAGTGATGTTTCTATACACTAAAAATGAAAAGTAAAAAGAGAAATTAATAAAACAATTTAGAATAGCTTCAGAAGGAATAAAATACCTAGGAATAATGTTAACTAAGGAGGTGAAAGATTTGTGCACTCAAAATTACAAAATGTTGCTAAAAAAATTGAAGACACCAATAAAGAAAAGAGGCTTGGTGGTGGCTCCCACCTGTAGTCCCAGCACTTTGGGAGGCTGAGGTAGGCAAATTGCTTGAGCTCAGGATTTTGAGACAAGCCTGGACAACGTGGCGAAACCCCATTTGACAAAAAAATGCAAAAATTAGCTGAGCATGGTGGTGCATGCCTGTGCTCCTGGCCTTCTGAGGAAGGTTGAGGGGGTAAGATCATCTGAGCCAAAGAGGTTGAGGCTACAGTAAGCTGTGATCACGCCACTGTAATCCAGCCTGGGTGACAGAGGCCCTGTCTCAAAAAATAAAATGAAAAGGACTAAATTGAATTTCTACAAATTTAAATTTAGTACTGAAAGTTAAAAACCCACTAGTGGTTTAAATAATAGTAAGTTATTTCTTTGACTTCAGAGATCATATTCTTAATCATTATCCTACATAAGTTTTAATTTTACACGTCTTTAAATTTCCGTATTTTTTACTTTGAATAAAAATTTCCTTTTAGATATTAAATAAAAGATGCAGAATTATTTATGGATGTCTCTTGAATTCTTGTTTTCATAGATGACCCAACTAGTTTTGCTTGCATGATTTTGCTCCCAAATTAGTTCATAATTTTTCCCACAGTCTCTCCCTGCTCTCATCTGTGCTACTCTTTGTGGGGTAGATCTTTGCAGGTCTCAATTACAATTTTGCTTTCTGGTTTCAGATTCTACAATGGCTTCTTGCATCTTATCCAGTGAAAATAATTCAAGTTTGTATTTTAATAATATGTACAATGTTCCAGGTTCTCAAAGATTAGTGATATTACTGTATATCAAATAATATTACAAAATTATTAGATTCTGGCTCCCAAAACCTATGAATTTATGAATTTGAATAATAGACACATTTTTTCTTTTAAATGATCACTTTTTCTAAATGGTTTTCCCATGGCTCAGTACATCAAGGCAAAACCTTTCTGATTTTTAAAAATATTTAATACAACTAGTATATTCCTAACAAGGCCTAAGAAGCAACTATCATCTTTCCTAAGAGGGCAAAGGGGTACTTCAGGCTTTGATGTAGCCAATTATTTAGCTATTTAAAAAGTATGAATATTCACAGGACAGATCCTATCACAAAAGTCCGCTGACAAAGAATCCTGGACTGTGGAAGTGATCACCCTATGCAAAATAATAAATAATATGTCTGATGCATAATTTGAGCTTTGACTAGAACTCATTTGTAAAATAGTATTTTATTTCTTTTTATGTAAATAACATTAATTAATTGCTCCTCAAAAGTAAAATAAAATAAAGTTTGAAGCTGTTTTATTGGGTAAATTATCTTAGTCATTGGATAAATGGTCATTCTTTTAGTGATAAGTGTCCTGATTCCATTGCTGTAAAGGGAGTTACTCTTTTGCAGACATGTCCTCTCTTTTCCTGTGTGATCATGAGATGGTTGTATTATCTGTAAAAATGTGATGATGATAATTTTGATAATGATCATGATCATAAGGAAATACATGGTAACAGAGAAATTTCTGAATATTAAGTCAACTTTAGAACAAATGAATTGAGGACACAGAAACTAAAATCTGCTTTAGATTTGTAAAAACCATATTATTTATAAACATTTCTATTAACTCCTTACTAAGTGACATGTGACAACAATGATTTCACTAAATTAGAAAGAAGTTGGCATTCAATTTAAGGCATGGCTACAAGGAAAATCTGTATATTATTTTTGTCACTGCTAATCAAACGCTTGTCTTTTAGCTTGGTGTGTGCAAGAATTTATTCTCACTGGTTTGACTGAATAGAATTGGCTGCTTTGTAATACCAATCCCTATGAAACTCACAGACAAGATTACTCAATTATTACAGTGAAATAATAGGAATAGCTAAATAATCTTACCTGCTACTGTGACATTGTGGTGTGTTTTGTGTCTGTTAGAGTTCTGATTTCTGGACCTCATTCTGTAGGCAGTGGTTGTTTTGAATTCATAGAATTAAAGATGAGGAAGACCTTGAGGAGTAAATCTAATGCATTATCATAACATAATACATTTCCATTCTTCATTTTAGGATGTTTCCTCTACATAAACAGGGCTTGTCAACAGGGTAATCTTCTACCTGGAATATTTTGGAACATGAAAACATATCGGCAAATCCTTTAATTCAGAGATTTCCTTTCTTTATTGTTGTCTGAGTCATCCAAAAATCCTAGTATTCGACACTACCATATAAAGTATATATAAAATGGTTTTGAAGATGCCCAAAGCTCATCAATCACAGTTAAACTATTTACTTTTTAAGGACTTATTATAATGGCTAATCAAAAATATATGTGAAGTCTTTTGGGATAACATGTTAGGGCAGAATGTTTTTCAACTTTCTCCCTAAATTTCTAAGAAGTGGGGATTCCTTTTCTACAGTCTTAAGATAACTTATCACTTATATAAAAATATGCCTGCATCAATGGATACTCATTAAAGTAAAATATAATTTGGTTTATACCAAAGAACTCTATAATACAATGATATGCTTAACTTTTTATTTCAACAATGAACTACTTGTGTGATCCTTTGTAAGTGTTAAGTGAATGTGTTTATCACCTCACAACTTAAAGCAGTTAGATTGGTAATTGCTCAAGTATTTTGTCAAAGATTAAGTAAAATTGTGCATCGCACCATTTAACTTGGCCCAGCCATTCCTACATATCAACATTGCTATTGCTGTAATATAGAAAATCATCTTTTAAAATTTAACCAATTAAAGAAAAAAATTTTAGTGCAAGGTAAGCAGTGTTTCTATCATCTAAGAGTTATGATAACCATGACACAAATAAGGCATACTCTCAAAAATAAATATAAACAAGACAGAATTTCAAGTACTGAGAAACAAGTCAGAGCAAAGCCACCTGTTAAAAATAATTCAAAGGTTTTATATTCAAAGGTTTTATATTATGAGTATTTGTGTAAGAGGCTTCTGTTTTTTGAGAAGTGTGAACTGCAAATCACAAACTAAGAGACAGAAAGATGGTTGGGTGGTGATTGTGAAAGATACCTGTTCATTTCAGATCTTCAGTTACCATGCCATCATAAGGGAAAAGGTGATTATTTATTGACAACTTCAAAGAAGCTTTTACGAATGAAATAGGAAAGCACGTTGCGCATAAAGAATGTAGTGTTTGAAAAAAAGCATGGGAAAGATAGTGCTAAACATACATCTTCTACTTTAAATGAATATAGTTGTTTTTATCTGTAGAGCAAATATGACATTCCTTGAGTATATGACATCTGCTTGGTGGCATTTTTTCCTCCCTGAGTGTAGTCATTTAATTACCCGCATGTAATTAAATGATGCAAAACATTCCAAGGTTCTCAGTTACAAAAGTAAACAATTCAACAAAAAGTCTTCTGACTTTGGCTATCTGAAATTCATTATGTGTAAGTATATTAAAAGAAATAGCTTTCATGAGCATCTATATTATACCATCAAGAACTTTCCATATATATGAAATATACATATATACACACACACGAGAGAAAGAGAAAACTAAATCTAGACTCCTAAACTAAATCTAGACTTCCCACACCTTTTAGACACAGGGGAAAGAGACAAGTTTTGCCTTACTGGAGTAATGCATTGAGTTAGGACCTCAGCATAACAAGAGGTATAAAAATGTCCACAATGAACCAAACCATCGTTTAGCCCTGACTTTCTGCATTTTGCCAACTGATATGTTTGGCATATTTCCCTTCATCATCTCATTATTATGATCTAAATAAGACATGAGGGCAAAGCTCTGACAAAATACTGTAATTCAAGAGTGTGCATGACTCTCTGGTGAACAGTCACAAATGCTGGTGAAAAACTTGTCAAAATGATAAAAGATCCACATGTGGTAGAGACTTGAACTGAGCTGAACGGTGACATCACTGCTAAAAAGATGTGCCTTTTGGCTATTGTGGGGATATTCTCCAGCTATTATTCGTAGTGATGTGGGAGTGACTGGGCCTTGTTTTAATTCAGTTAGCAGCTTCCTGTTAATGCTTTGGTTATAGGTTATAGCCACAGAAAATATATCTTGTATATGTGAGTGGTATAATTTTGAAGACTCTAAAATATGGTAACAACTATGCTGACTCTATTATATAATGGAGGTGAATAGAATTCAATTAACAACAGACACTGTGCAACTCTTAATTTTCAAACACCAATCTCACGCCACTGTTGCTTCCTGAACAACTAAGCAAAAGGCAAGGAGTTAAACCACACATAATTTGATACACTGTAACCCAAGCAAGTATGGTTTAATCTTAGCAGAAACTTGAAGAACTGAACATTTGGTAACTTGAAGGTTATATAATTTTTAAAAGCCTTCATTTTATGAATAAGAATAAGATTCTTATTTGAATAAATAAGTAAAAGTGGATGACTATAGACATCAAAACATTAGTGAAACCATAAACACAGGTTCTGGAGTTAGATACTTTGAAGATACACTGTAAAATGATGGACAACTTCTTTCATCATTTATAGTCTCTTAAAGTGGAGTTCAGCTTGATGAATCAACTGATTTTGGTAGCTGAGTCAGGTATATGTTTTAGTGCCATAAGAAAATGAGAAGGAATGATTCTGTGAATCATTGCAACTAGCTAAGAAGGGAATTAACATATTCAGTCTCATCAGAAAGGTTTTTTCTTTTTTAAAACAAAATACAGCTGGTAAATGGGAATCAATTTGCACCTGCTATACTGCAAAAAATTATATTAAATCCATATTAAAAGAAATAGCTTTCATGAGCATATATCTTGTACCATCAAGAACTTTTCACAAAGACTTTGTCTGGAAGGTAAAAGGCTTTTCCCTCCAGTGTAAATAGTATCACAGACAATGATCAAAATGCTCATGCTTCTATAATTTTTGTGACACTTTTGCCTCTGTAAAGGGATAAAATTTTTATCTGAAACTCCTACATGATCAAGAGCTGCCTCTTTTGCAACACCAACAGGAGAAATAGTGACAAGCTCCCAGTGTAAAGCACCCATTTACCTTGCTGACCCTAAGCTGCAAGTCATTATATCGCCTACTTTGAATTAATGGTGAAACATTTATCTTGTTTCATACAATGCATGCCTTTTTCCATGCTCCACCTTTCACCTGACCTGTCTGTATTTTTATTATATAATACTTCTAACTATCTGAAGGTAGGACAGTCTTATTTTCTGACTGATCCTCCTGCTAGCAGCACATAACAGGTTTCTCTTTATTATTCTATGTTGGTGTGCTTTATTTGAAGATCTTCCTTTATTTTTGAGCACATGGCTCCTTTTTTTTCCATATAGAAGTGATGGTTATTTCATGGCCAGACAAATAAGCATATTTAAAAAATTGTTTTAAAACTATTTTTTAAAGACAGGATCTCATCCTGTATCCAGGCTAGAGTACCGTGCTATGATCACAGCCCACTGTAGCCTCGAACTCCTGGGCTGAAGCAATCCTCCTACCTCAGTCTCCCAAGTAGGTAGGACTACAGACACACGCCACAATGACTGGCTGATTTAATTTTTTTTCAGAGACAGGGTCTTGCTATGTTGCCTGGGTTGGTCTTGAACTTACTGCCTCAAGAGATCTTCCCTCCTTGGCCTCCCAAAGCACCAGGATTACAGGCGTGAGTCACTGTGCCCAGCTATATATTTTTAAACTGAGAAAAGATGGCCTTGAGTTATATAAACCTGAGAAAAACTAGAGAATTTTCAGTTACCTATTTCTTTAACTGAATCCACAGGTAGGAAAAGCCTGGAAAGAGTCTGATTATATATTTTCCAATCAACTTACATTTTTCATTTAACTGGTAGTGTGGGCAGGCCCACTTTTGAGTTTATGTGCTTGACGTTCCTGGTAATTTAGAGTGAATTTGAACAGGTGTATTAGTGTTGCCTTGTGTGACCCAAGAAGCCAGATTATTTAAAAATAACCCTGGAGGCTTCCTTCAGGTGGGCTGGACAAGGATCTAGTTTGGGCAGGCAGGAATGGACAGTTTATTTCCAAGCCAGAGAGGCTGCATCCGAGGTCAGCTTCCTATGACGTTCATGGAATCCTTTCAGGAGCACTGCAACTTCACAGGAGTCCAAGATTCTGGGCAGCATACATTTCCAAGCAATCCCTACAAACTGCTGGCACTCAAATCTATTCTGCCCGGAGTTCAAGATGTTTGTGTGTCTTCTCAGAAATAATGTTGCTTGCTCTGTAAAGAAGAAGGCAATAGGCTGGGCACGGTGGCTCACACCTGTAATCCCAGCACTTTGGGAGGCAGAGGTGGGCGGATCACAAGGTCAGGAGATCGAGACCATCCTGGCTAACACAGTGAAACCCTGTCTCTACTAAAAATACAAAAAATTAGCCGGGCGTGGTGGTGGGCGCCTGTAGTCCCAGTTACTCAGGAGGCTGAGGCAGGAGAATGGCATGAACCCAGGAGGCGGAGCTTGCAGTAAGCCAAGATTGTGCCACTGCACTCCAGCCCGGGCGACAGAGCCAGAGTCCGTCTCAAAAAAAAAAAAAAAAAAAAAAAAAAGAAGAAGGCAATAGAAGAGGGAGACCCTCTTCAGGAATGCCAACCCACTTAATTGTCTATGCCCAGCATGCTTTATTGTGGAATAATGAGGGTGGGAAGCGTGTCACTTTTCTTCTCTTAATTAACCCTGCCTGGTGAAATGGGCCTGATCTTGCATGACAATTTAAAAAAGAAATGATGCACATATGCAATGTGGGTGTCTATGATCACACACAGAAAATACGGATCTGAAGCCTATACCTACCTATTTTTATTTGTTCTAAAATTGCCTCCTTCCAGGTACAAGATTTCAGAGGAAATCTATGTGCCTACAATCTTTCCCTTGTATGAATACATATTTCCTCTGAAAGCCAGGTCAGTTCAAATAAGCTACCTGGATTGCCTGAGTTCCTGGGAATATGATGTGGTGTTGAATGAGTACAGAATTAATGCACTAACAACATGAAGCAGGAGGGGAATTAAATGAAGATCTCCTCTTTGACCCAGAGAAGGGAATATTTCCAGAGGCTAGCTGATCCTGAAGACATGTTATATAACGAGCCAGAAGAACTAATTTGCTGAATGAAGTCTGCTGAAAAACCACAATTGGCATGGCCATCTTCTGTATATTCCATAGTCTGCATTTTGCCTTTTGTGACAAATTTTCTTGTCCAAGAATGACTTCAACATTTATTTTTTGTTTTTTTTTACAACATTTATTTTAACTTTATCCTGATTTAAAGTACAGACTAACTTAGATTTTAAATACCCTTGATATTTATAAGCCACTTAGACACATGTTATTACTTACTGGCACTCATATTAAGAAACCTGAGCATTCCTCTATTGTCATTGTCATGGAGGAGACAGAATCTCTTCCACAGTGCCTACTGTGTTGAGAGATGTTCAGCAGGAGTGTCAGTGACTTTTATTAAGATACTTGGAAATGGGTGGCTTCAGTTAGAGTAATCTGCTTCAGTTTGGTATTCCTCCTTTCTTCTTATGAATACAGTAAAACTAAGGCTTTCATTTGGTTTATAAACATCACATACAAAGATCTGGCTTACATTAAATCAAATCACTGGGCAACAAAAGTGATTATCAGAATTTGAAGGGTTCTGTTCATCCATTCATTTACTTGTTTATTATTCAATAGTTCCATCAATCTGTCCATCCATCCATCCATCCATCCAATGACAGCTATGGCCCATCTGCAGCAGCTGCTGCAAGGACACCAGCTACTGCAGGGGAGGCACAGCTGGGGCTGAACACTCCCAGGAGCTGGCAGGGGGCGGGAACAGGTGGGAACCCCACCCCCTACCAAGTCGATTGGGCAGGAGCCCTGCACTGCTGGGCACAGCTGCAGCCTCCCAGCCACAGTTCCAGATCCCTGTATTCTTGGGGGCCTAGGAAGCCCCCCTCCACTCACAGGCTTGAAAGTGCCTGCTTCCACTCGCTGGCCTCTCTCTGCTCCCAGTGTCCAATCCAATTTTGGAGCAAAGTTGAAGCTAAGCCCTGGTGTTGTCACAACCCAGCCAGCCATGTGCATGCTTGGGGTGGTACTGACATGCCAGCCCCTGCCACTGCTTTGGCCCCCTCCAAAACTTTGGGCACTGATGAGCTCAGGGAAGGAGGTGGGGTCATAGGCTGAGCATGGCTCCAGACAGAGCTGTAGGCTTCCCTCAACACGAAAACCTAGACGCCATGGACAGCATGTTGATGTTGGCAAGAGGCAGACAGGTGGGAAGGGTTGGGTCCCTGGTGAAGCCCCAAGTTCAAGCCAGGGAGAGCCTGAAGCCTGGGGGCTGGGCTGCCAGTTTTAGGTTGAGTCGCCAAGTAGAATGAGAACTCATGGTGCTTTTTCCAGGCCCACCCATGGCTGGCCATGGACCAATCAGCATACACTTCCTGACTTCTGAGCCCATAAAAACCATAGACTCAGCCAGACTCACACACTCTTCCAGATGACCTGCCTGTGGAAAAGAGCTACCCACTATATGTCTCCTCTCCACTGAGAGCTGGACACTCATTGGGACGACCTGCCTGTGGAAAGGAGCTACCCACTTTGAGTCTCCTGAGAGCTGTTCTGTTGCTCAATGAAGCTCTTCTCTGCTTTGCTCATCCTCCAGTTGTCCACATACCTCATTCTTTCTGGATATGGGACAAGAACTCAGGACCCACCAAATGGTGGGACTGAAAGAGCTGTAACACAAACAGGGTCAAAATACATCCGTATCCTGTTATCATGTTGCAGGCGACAAGAAGGACAGAAGAGCTGAGGCCCTTCAGGGATCCCAGACCTAGAGGCTTCTGGATCCAGGGCTGTGACACCCTCTTTGGGGCTCTGTGGTTCCTGGTGTCTCCATGCTTCCTGGCGCCACTGCATTCCCGTTGTCTAGATGCAGGTGCTCACTGAGGAAGCTGCTTGTGGTACATCTGATCCAGCCACAGCCTTGGACGGAGCTGGTGTCTATGCAGTGCATGGCGCTGCCTGCCCCACTGCAGCAGCTCACGTGCCTGGCTGTGCACAGTGGCTGAAACCCACGCTCGCTCATTCACACACCCCTCACCACTCCATACTTGGCTTGCCCTTGACAGGTGTGGGATCAGAGCCAGTAGTGACAGCC
This sequence comes from Homo sapiens, assembly GCF_000001405.40. NCBI lineage: Eukaryota > Metazoa > Chordata > Mammalia > Primates > Hominidae > Homo > Homo sapiens. Next base: position 35,203,737 of record NC_000008.11, on the reverse strand, counting down.
AAGCACTGCCTGCCAGACTGAGTGGTTAGAACAAGCCCAGTGGGCATGAAAAAAACTCAAGCAGAGGTACTGCTGGCCACAGAGGTTTCTGGCTGGTGAAGCAACACCCTAAGTATCCCGTGATACATCCATTATTTTCTATCTAATAAATATGGAGTGAGTAACTATCACATGTTGGAACTTCCAAAGTGAACAGCATAGACAGAGTAGCTATTCTTATTAAGATAAAGTTCTAGCAAAATAGAAAGGGATATTATGTAAAGCTATGTTTCTCTCTCTCTCTCTCTCTTTCTCTCTCTATCTTTCTCTTTTTTTTCTTTTAGAAATAGAATCTTGTTCTGTTGCCCAGGTTGGAGTACACTGGCTCAGTCATAGCTCACTGCAGCCTCAAACGGCAGGACTCAAGCAATTCTCCCATCTTAGCCTCCTAAGTAGCTGGGAGAACAGGTGCACACCACTATTCCTGGCTACTATTTTTTTCCATTTTTTGGAGCCAGGATCTCATTACATTGCCCAAGCTGGTCTCAAACTCCTGGGCTTAAGCAATCCTCCTGCCTCAGCCTCCCATGTAGAAAGATATGTTTCTTATACAACTGTGTTTGTGGGCTAAGATTATAGCTGCTATGCATATTATTATATAAAAGTAATGAATTCACAGTTATGATAATCACTAAAATTGGGTACTGTGATTGTATATAAAATGAGGACTTAGTATGAGATTAGAAAAACCTTCCTAAGGAATGGGAATTCTAACTCCCTAAGGAAGAGGGAATTGCTTGTGCAAAGGCTTTGAGGAGGAAGAGCTTGACCACAAAACAAAATAATACACAACACAACACAACACAACACAACAAACACACTGTGTTTGGAGCATATTGAGCCAAGTTATAAAGAAGCAAGACTTGAGAGGTGAATGTGAACCAGATCCTGAAGGGACTTTTAGAATGTTTTAAAGGTTTTGATCTTTATCCTTAGAACAACAGGCTGTATGTACAGAATTCTAAGCAGGAAACTGACATGATCAGTTCTACTGCTTTTCATGTTCCCTTCCAAACCCTGTAAATTTATTATCATTATTACATAAATACTTTTCTATTTTTTAAAAATGTAACACTTTCTCTTAGTTAAAGTTGAAAAGATTTTAAAAAATTGTACAGTACAAATTTCCCTTCCACCATGTCTTTTGACCTTCTCGTTCCCATAGTATGAAGCAACCAGTATTACTAATATCTTGGCATCCTTCCAGAGGTACTACCATTGTGGACTTCATTTTGTAAAACATTTTTCTTACTGACAATATTAACATACATAAAAGTAGAGATAATGGTATAATGAACATCCATGTACCTACCACATAACTTCACCAATTGTCAAATTAGTGCTAATCTTGCACCTCTATAACTCCACCTACTTTTTTAGCAACCCTGTAATAAATTTCATTGAAATAAATTTCACATATCTTAAATTTTATCTGTAAATGTTTTAGAAATCATTTCTCAAAGGAGCCCCTTTTCCAACATAACATCAACATCATGATCACACTCCAGAAAATGCAAGTTCATTATTATAAAATTCCCAGTGTTTTACCCCTGTATCCCCATAAAAGCAGACTCTATCTACAATGAAGGTTTGAATGTCGTTATACCTTACCTTGGGAGGTGATACAAAGAAGCACTTAAGAGTGGAAGAAAGTGAGCCAGTGGAGAAATGAAAGTCAACAAAGAGGTGTGCAAAGGAAGAGGTTCTGTTGGGCAGAAGTGGGACTGAATTCCACTGGAGATCACTGGAGACATTGTATAGAACACATATTAGAAGTTCAAGGAAACTGGAAATCTCCTCTGATTGCTGCACCTCACAGGTTGCAGTGAGGTTGAGAGCTACCTCACTGGGTCTTCTACTCTGTTCCTAGGGCCAGAAAATGCCCTCAGACAGAAAGACTCAGGAGACCCTGTCAGGCCCAAGAACTGTTTGCCTCTGACCTCTGGTATAGGCTAAGGAATTTTCAGGAGGCACAGTCAGCATCTGACACATCACTCATTTTTCCCATAGCCTATATTATTTTCACTCTTTGTTTATTGAATTGGGGTCCAAAGAAGGTCCATGAACTGGAATTGTGCTGATTAGTAAGTCTCTTAAGTGTCTTCTATAGATTTACCTACCATTCTCCTTTTTTCTTGCATTTTTTGGTTATTGTTATAGAATCTAGTCTTTTTTTTTTCAATAGAATTTGTCAGACTGTATAGTGGAGTTCCTCTCCATAATGTTGTTTAACATGTTTTGTTGGTTTCTGTGTTTCATGCACATTGGTAATTATCATATTTGAGTTTAATTTTTTTCTTGCCAGATGATTTTGTAGGTAGTGGTATGTTCTTCCAATAGGACACATATAATTTCCAGTTTCCTTTTTCTCATTGTGATAGTAGTTGTGACTGAAAATCACTGAGCAGATGCATTAATTCATTAGCGGTTACAGAAGGGTAATAGACTAATTCTATCATTCTTTTTTTCCATTGTTAGTGTGAATACTTCTGTAAAGAGAAACTTGCCTTCATGAAATATCTGGTTGCTCCAAGGTATAGTTCTTAGAGGTTAAATGCTTGGTTATTTTCTTTTATTTCAAGATAAATGAGTTATTATTTCAAAATAATGAAATATTTGAAATTTGAATAATAATGAAATAAAATGAAATTATTATTTCAAAATAATGAGTTAGTCTTAATATATTCCAAAGGTGATGACTGATTTTGTGTGTGTGTATCACGAACTCCTAGATTTAAATAGTTTAATATTTTTCAGTGCACACAGTTCTTGTCCTTATTTGTGCTCACATTGTCTCATTTTCAACCTATTTTGAGTATCTGAACTGAGTAACCGAGTACCTGTTCAAGTTGATGCCCAAGTTCTTTTTTTTTTTTTATTTTTTATTTTTTTTAGACAGAGGCTCACTCTGTTCCCCAGGCTGGAGTGCAGCTGTGTGATCTCAGATCACTGCAACCTCCACTTCCTGGATTCAAGTGATTCTCCAGGTGCATGCCACCACACCTGGCTAATTTTTGTATTTTTAGTAGAGATGGGGTTTTGCCATATTGACCAGGCTCGTCTTGAACTCCTGACCTCAAGTAATCCACCTGCCTCGGCCTCCCAAAGTGCTAGGATTACAGGCGTGAGCCATCTAGCCCGGCCAGCGCCCAGGTTCTTTTGACACAGGGTAGTCATCTCAGAGTGTTTCCTTATTTTCTGGTATAGAAATGCTCGTCTTGTTTCCTTATGACCCCACCCACTTTCCTAGATACCCTTTCTTTGATTATTTTGGAAATCGTCCAAGATATTTTCTAGACTGGTAACAACTACTTTCTCAAGGAACTCGTTCTTTTTCTGTTCATGATGGCATGTCAAGACTAAACTGGGCACTGGGGAAGTTTTCTACTACTTGGTCACTCATTGTCATTGGGCCTTTCTCGATCATTAGGCCTTTCCGACAGAGCCAGAAGATATACATTTTTAAAAAATAAAATGAATTATGAATTTATACTGACACTTCCCATTAGAAATCAGGACTACAAAGATATTACTTAACATCATAGATCTTACGTCAGTATTTATTTTATTTCATGCCCCAAATCTTAGTTCTAAGTAACACCAATGCAATTCCTCATTTGCTTTGTTTCACACTATACACACAACAGCCTCATAATAATAATACATTACCAACAATGGTATGATTAGTGAGCTCAGCTACAGTTTTTTGTTTTACAGTTTTTTGTTCCCCTTAGGATCTATTCTGCTATGGATGTGCAGCCTACTTAATAGGTATTAAAGTCCCTTGAAATATTTACCGTCTGGGGATTATGTTAAAAATTGAATTATACAATTATCACTATTTATTTAATTCTTTTTTTATTTCTAGGAACATTTTTAAAAATTTAATTTTGTTTTATAATTATATATGTATATGATTTAAAAATCTGATTTATAAAACGATATATTCAAATAATTTTAGGTTAAAATGTTTTTCATTTTACTTTATTCTGATCTAGGCAACCTTACCAACATAAGCAGATACATAAAAATGTATGTATGAACAGATATGTGTGTGTGAATGTGTGTGTATATATATATATATATATATATAATACACATCTGTATTTGTATTTCCTTCCTCCTTAGATAGGTGATAGTACTTTTGAGAATGTTTTTCTCATTGATATTTAGTACAATACCTAGGAAGACAACCTGTCATGCCAGAAGCTACTGTAGGGTAAGAGTCAGGAATATATGGATGTGCGGTATCTGATAAGAGAAACCTGAAGTTCAACACAGCACAGTGGATGTTTGTGCTTTCTCATGCCTTTTCTAATGAAATTCTTAATTGCTATTTTACTTGCTGTTCTTTGTTTGTCGATGGTTTTGCCAGATAAAAATGATTCTTTGATGTGCCTGAGTTAAAGATTACTCTTCTGAATTCTGATAGCATTTCATACAAGTTGTTATAAGAATAGGCTACAAAATTTCCATTTGCAGGCACATCCCTTGTGCTACATGCACACTTCATGCAAGAAGACCTTGGCTTCCCAATGTATTAGCACTTTAGAAATACACTTTGTTCTTTTGTTATTTTCAATTTAAGGTACTACTTTTTGCATTTAGCAGAGTCTGGATTAAGTGTAACTGGATTAGTCAATTTTACTATAGATTACTGTTCAATTTAAGTCAGTTTTCTTTTGCCTGTGCTCTGGAATTAACATAATGAAATAAGATCTGGCAGTGAAAGGAAAACAAAGGCCATTTTCCAGGTTATATATGTACTTTTTTATTTTTGAAACACACAAAGTTTCAATTCTGTCATGAAAATTAGTGCTCTCTTATGACCTCAAACAAAATACAATTTCATATTCTTTTTTATCACACAGCCTGGGAAATGAAGTTGGCTTTAACCAGAGGAAGCTAGTACATGCCAATGAACTTTACTTGATTCATCAATAAACATTTTAAAAACTGGTGGGTTTTTGAATGGCGAGGACATAAGAAGAGAACCTTGGATGGAGGTTTAAGCAGCTTCCATGAATGGACACTCTGCGGTATTTAATTGGGGTGGCTGAATTGTAATGTGTAAATTGCCACACTTGAATTGAAGCATGGATACTTTATGAAGCCTTGGAAAACACACACCTAATTACATACATAAGCCTTTTAAAAATAATAGAATAAAAAAGTAATTTTGTTGTTAAAATACCATTTCAAAAATCAAAATCATTTAATTCAACATTACTTTAACAGGCTACCAAAAATTTAAACATAAGAAACAAAAAAATTAGGAGGCAAATACTACTCACTAAAAAAGATTTATTTCTGGCTTCCTTTAATACAGTCATGCATCAGTTAACGACAGGGATATGTTCTGAGAAATGTGTCATTGTATGAACATCACAGAGTGTACTTCTACTAATCTAGATGGTATGGTCTACTGCACACCCAGGCTACATGGATTAGGCTATTGCTCCTAGGCTACAAATCTGTTCAACATGTTACTGTATTAAATGAACACTCTAGGCTCTGGGAACACAATGGTAAGCATTTGTATTTCTAGACATATCTAAACATAGGAAAGGTTGTGCTTTGATGGCTATGACGTCACTAAGTGATAGGAACTTTTCAGGTCCATTATAATTTTATGGACCCATCATCGTATATGTGATCAGTCTTTGACCAAAATGTTGTTATGCAGAACAAAATGTGTCAAGCTTCCCTAATATTGTCCAAATTTAGTCAATTTACCAATACTTTCTTTAGCTGCAGCATTACACATGGCTGTTAAGTAAAAGTGGATATATTAATGATGATAATTTTTATAGCTTTTTCCACATGAGATCACTGATGACCTTGGGAAATCAATTGCAAATATTTCTGTGATAAGTAGAAGACGGTGAAGAAGTGAAGAAATCTGATGTAATTTACTCAAGCTTTTATTAAAATAATATTTATTACTCTTTTAAGAAGTCTAAGTGTATGTGGAACAGAAGTAGCATGGTAATGTGAAGATACAAGATAAAAGGACAGTTCTCTGGTAAATTTTTTGTAACTGGAATGGAAATTATTTTAGTTTTAAAAATTAAAATTTTGTTTTTTAAAATTTTAAACAATAAAAGTAAATTTTTATGGGCAATATTTTCATTTTGAAAAAAAAGATAAAAGTGGAATGTTATACTTTAAGGCAAGCCCTATTTCCTCTGGTTTTTGCCTGTTGGCTTCCAACAGGAAACCGTGTATATCAATTTTTTGTATACCTTTCCTGGCTTTTCTTTATGCAAATATAAGGAAATATGAATATATACCATCCACTATGCTTACTATTTACTTTAGAAGAATTGTTTATGCCTGATATTTTTAAGTTTACATTTTCTGGTGATTTCCACAATAATCATACTTGTATCTATTCGTTTCCCACAATGAGCATTCAAAAATTAATTTATATCTTCTTACATTCTTTATCCATTTCCCTGTCAACCCAGTATACCTCCCTCTTAAATGTACTCAATGGTATTTTTCCTTAGGGGTTATCATTGCACTCTTAAATATGCTTATATTTCTACGTGATTTGATTTGCTAGCTTTAACTGCTCTTTTGGCTTCTAGCTACTTAAGAGGAGACATAAGTATATTAGTCTGCTCTCATGCTGCTAATAAAGACATATCCAAGACTGGGTAATTTATAAAGGAAAGAGTTTTAATTGACTTACAGTTCCACATGGCTAGGGAGGCCTCACAATCATGGCTGAAGGCCAGTGAAGAGCAAAGTCACGTCTTACATGGTGGCAGGCAAGAGGGTTGGTGCAGGGGAACTCTCGTTTATCAAACAATCTCATGAAGCTTATTCGCTACCACAAGAACAGTATGGGGAAAATCACCTCCATGATTCAATTATCTTCACCTGGCCCTGCCCTTGACACATGAGGATTATTACAATTCAAGGTGAGATTTGGGTGGGGACACAGCCAAACCATATCGATAAGCATATTTACTTTACATGTAGCCTCCTATGTCTTCTCCCACTCTTCATTTTGTTAGTTGTTTTATTTCCGTGTCATCAAGCCACCTTGTATTTCCATATTCTTCTGATGCCCTTATCCCCACTTTTTTTTTTTTTTTTAATTTTAGGTGTAGCAAGATATATCCATTGCTCACCATCATTTTTATGTTTTTTGCCAAACTTTCCCCAGATATTTCTTAGTTGGGCAGAATTCTGATAACCCCTTCTTCAAGTAGAGAATAAGTTTTCTCTGCATTTTACCATTTTAAACTATTTCTCTGTAGTTTTAATAAATGGATTTTTATGTTATATGCCTAAAGGATAGCTTGGCTAGATAGAAAATCCTTGACTCAGATTCTTTTTACCTATAGTATTTCTTAGGTGCTGCTTCACTGTCTTCTGGCACTGGATATTGTGGTAGAGGCAGGAGTCTGATGTTATCAGACATCATATGGAATTTTGTTTTCATAGAAGTGACTTAATTTTTTTATCCCATATCTGGAGAGTCTTCCATTATATTTAACATCCAACAACTTTACTAGAATGCATCATGAAGTTGACTGCTCCAGTCAGCTTCCCCTGGGACAAAATGTAGGCTCAAAGTTTCTCTATTTTCAGAAAAAAAATTCTTGAATTATATTTTAAAATATCTGTCTTTGTTGTGGGCTTTTAAGAAATCCAAATATGAGCCATGTGTGGTGGTGCACACCTGTAGCCCCAGCTACTCAGGAGGATCAGGCATGAAGTTTGCTTGAGTCCAGGAGTTCAAGGATGTAGTGTTCTATGATGGCATCTGTGAATAATCACTGTGCTCCAGCCTGAGCAACATAGCGAGACCCAAGCTCAAAAAAAAAAAAAAAAAAAAAAAAAAAAACAGAGAAAAAAGAAATCCAAGTATGAATATATTGATTACTGATTACTCTTTCTCTTTCCTCTATATCTTTCTAGTCCTTTATTTATATTTCCTTTATTTATATTTTAGTTATTTATTTCTCGTTTCTATCAACTTTGTTCTTCATGTGGCTACTGGTAGCCACAGCATCTATTCTCCTAGTATTCTTTCCAATAATCTTAATTTCTGCAATCCTTTCACCTTCCTTCTCTTTTCCTGAGTTTGGTCAGCTCATGTCTCACATTTCTGTATTGTGCCACCATTTTCCCTCTGAGCTCTTATTTTTCTGCTTTGTGGTCTTCTTTCTCGCAGTGATTGCTTCATAACTCATTTTAATGGTGCAATCTTTGGCGAAATCTTCAGCAACAACTTGGCAATATTTTTCTGCTTCTTTCCTCCTGTTGGAAAGTTTTATTGCTTTTGTACACATTTTAATGGTACTTTTGTGTGGACTCAGTGCCACTGTTCTTTTATGATTCAAAGTTAAATATATTTGCAGCTATTTGCAGGAGTTTTCCATGGTAGGTGGGATGGGTGATGTATGGGGCATGGAAAAGGACTTACAGCTTCAAGGATTCTATCTTCTGCTGCCAGAGAAATAGACTATTCACTGAAAGTATGACACTTCTGTGTGTTTCTCCACATGGCTTCTCAACAGGCCTCCTCCTTTTTCCAAAATTAACTTGGCCCAGGAGGGTTTCTGCCACCAGTTCTGGTCTCATGGTGGCTATTTCTATGAAACTTATTTCACGGATATTTCACAAAACACTTTTTCACATCAGCTGTGCTCCCCAGCCCCTCTTGTCACTTTTCTTGGCATCTCTGTTCACTGAGGTTTCTGGATAATCTCAGTTCTGTTCTCAGTAGCTCCCATTCTGGTTTTTGTACCTTAGGATTGTCCTCTGTCATCAGGAAATACATTTTTGTTGGTGCTTCCTGGGATCTCCCACACTGAGATCCCTTAGTGTTTTGCCTACTGCTCACTGCTGCTCTGGCCAGTGCCCTTACAGCTCTGCCCCATGCCCGGCAGCTCTCTGTTTTCTTGTTCCACTTTAAATGGAGTGTTTGTGCCTTTTTGAAAGCACCTACGCCCACCTCATTATTTATTTCTAATGTTTCCTGCAGGAAGAGGGCAGATTCCTGATTTAAATTCTTGCTATTATATGCTAGGATGATTTTTGTTAGCTTTTTAAAAATTATTATTTCTTAAAGTGAAAATTGAACAAAGTGAAAAAACAGAAGGGAAAAAGGGAATGAAAACCCAGGAAAAAATATTAAGAAGAAATATTAAGAAGTGAGTTCTTAATTATACACCAACAAATTAGATAAACTAGAAAAAATGGATAAATTCCTAAAAATACATAACCTACCATGACTGAATCATAGAGAAAAAGAAAATCTGAACAGACCAAAAACAGGTAAGGAGACTAAATAAGATGTCTTTCATCAACGAAAAGCCAGGGACTTCATGGCTTCACTGATGAGTTCTACCAAATATTTGAAGAATTAACACCAATCGTTGAATGGGGGGCGGGTAATACTTCGAAATTCATTTTATTAAGCCAGAATTACTCTGATACCAAAGACATTCGATGACTCCGTAAGGAAAAAAAAATTACACGCCAATATCCCTGAAGAACATTGATAAAAAAACCCTCGAGAAAATACTAGCAAACTAAATTTAACAGCACATTAAAAGTACATTATGTTCAAGTGGAATTTATTCTTGGGATGCAAGGATAGTTCAACACACACGAACCAATAAATGTGATATATTATATGAACAAAATGAAGAAAAAAATTATATAATCATCTCTACAGAGCAATTAATCAAGAGAAAGAAATAGAAGGCACCAAACTGAAAAGGAAGTAGTAAAATTGTCTCTGTTTGCAAAGGACATGATCTTATATATAGAAAACCCTAAAGACTCCACCAAAAAGCTGTTAGAACTAATAAATGAATTCAGTAAAATTGCAGTATACAAAATTAACATAAGATTGTCGTATTTCTATAAAATAACAAAAAACTACCCCCCAAATTAAGATAACAATATTATTTACAATAGCATCAAAAACAATAAAATTCTTAGGAATATGTTTAACCAAAGAATTGAAAGATCTAAATACTAAAAATTGTAACACACCTATAAAAGAAATTGTATATGATGCAAATAAATGGAGAGATATCCCAGGTTAATTGATTGGAATAATTAATATTGTGAAAATGTCCATACTACCCAAAGCAATTTATAGATTCAGTATAATCCCTACTAAAAGTTCCAATGGCATTTTCCACAAAAATAGAAAAAACAATTCTAACATTTATATAGAACCATGAAAGGCTCTGAATAACCAAAGCAATCTTGAGCAAAAATAATAAAGCATAAGTTATCACACTAATTGTTTTCAAAATATACTCCAAAACTAGTAATCATGACAACATGGTACTAGCATAAAAGCAGGCACACAGGCTAATGGAAAAGAATAGCGGAGTCCAGAAATAAATCCATGCATTAATAGTCAATTGATCTTTGATAAGGGTGCCAAGAATACACAATGGGGAAAAGCAGTCTCTTCAGTAAATGCTGTTGGAAAAACTGGGTATTCATATGCAGAAGAATGAAACTGAATCGCTATCATATATTATATACTAAAATAAACTTAAACTGTATTACAGACTTAAAAGTAAGGCCTGAAACTGTAAAAATACTAGAAGAAAATATAGAGAAAATATTCTTGACATTGGTCTGGGCTATGATTTCTTTTGATATGACCCCAAAACCGCAGGCAATGAAAGCAAAAATATACAAAGGGGATTGCATCACACTAAATACTTCTGCATAGCAAAGGAAACAAAAGTAAAGAGACAACCTATGGAATGGGTGGAAACATTTGCAAACCGTAATCTGATAAGGGATTCATATTCAAAATATATTGGTAACTAAAACAACTCAATAGCAAGAAAATATATTTCTGATTGAAAAAATGGATAAAGGATCTGAATAGGTATTTCTTCAAAGAAAACATACAAATGCCAATTGGTAGGTGAAAAGATATTCAGCACCACCAGTCATCAGGAAAATGCAAATTGAACCACAAGGAGATATAACTTCATTTCTTTTACAATGGCTATTATCAGGAAGACAAAAGATAAGAGTTGAAAGAATGTCAAGAAAAGGAAGCCCTTCTACGCTGTTAGTGGGAATGTAAATTAGTACAGCCATTATGGAAAACATTATGTAGGTTCCTCAAAAAGTGAAAATAGAACTACCATATGATTCAGCAATCCCATTTCTGAGTATATATGTGAAGAAAATGTGATCAATACCTTGAAGAGATATCCGTATGCCCATGTTAATTGCAGCATTATTCACAATAGCCAAGACATGGGATCAATCTAAATGCCCATTGATGAATAAATGAGTAATGAAAATGTCACACATGCACATACACACACACACATATACACAATGGAATATTACTCAGCCTTTAAAAAAGAAGGAAATCAAGTTGTTTGCAGCAACATGGATAAACCTGGAAAGAATTATGCTAAATGAAATAAGCTAGGCACAGAAAGACAAACAATGCATAATCCCGTCTATATGTGGGATCTAATATAGTCCAACTCATGGAAGTAGAGAGTAGAATAGTGTCTGCCAGGGACTGAGAGCTGGGGGTGATGGAGAGATGTTGGTCAAAGGGTATAAAGTTTCAGTTAGGCAGGGTGAATATGTTCATTTAAAGTACAGCATAGTGACTATAGTTAATAAGACTGTATTCTATACTTGATATTTGCTAAGAGAGTGGGTCTTACATGTTCTCACCAAACATACGCACACAAAAATAACTATGTGAAGCAATAGGTATGTTAATTAGCTTGATTGTGCTAAACATTTCTCTCTTTCTCTCTCTCTCTCTCTCTCTCTCTACATATATATATATATGTGTGTGTGTGTATACACACATATCAGAAGAACACCATGTCGTACATGATAAATATATCCACTTTTAATTTGTCAACTATGCCTCAATAAAGCTGCAAGAAAAAGAAGAAAGTTTTGCGAGATGCAAAAGACTGCAGTGCCAATAATACACATCCTCCAAGACAGAAAGGAAAAGAGAATAGGGTAACACACAAGGGAATGCTAAGATCATGAGAAACATTTGTTTTCAGATGAAGGGTAAATGAGATTAGGAATTAATGCTAGATGAACTGGAATTTCTCTACATGGTGAAGATAAAAATCACTCCTTGAAAGTTAGAGATCTGGAGGTAGCAGTGAACTCCACAAAAGAAATTTGGAATCATCTGCTAAGGGATATTAAAGAAGGAGTTAGAAAATGGCAAAAGTTATCTAGGTAGTCTAGTTGAGTTTGGATAGATAATTTAGGAGACAACAGAAAACAAATGTCCTAAGCCAAGTGGGGTGGCTCACACCTGTAATCCCAGAACTTTGAGAAACAAAGGCGGGAGGATCACTTGAGCCCAGGAATTTGAGACCAGTCTGGGTAACATAGTGAAACCTTATCTCTACAAAAAATTTAAAAAATTAACTCAGCCTGGTGGTATGTTCTTCTACTCCCAGCTACTTGGAGGCTGAGAAAAGAGGGTTACTTGAGCCTGGGAAATCGAGGCTGCAGTGAGCTATAATTGCATCAGTGCACTACACCCTGGGTGGCAGAGTGAGACCCTGTCTCCAAAATAAATAAATAAACAGAAGTGAAAAGAAAACAGATTTTCTTGACTTTTCTCCCCATGCTCAGCAGCTGGGAGTTAACACATCTGGGGCAATAGGAAGGACAAAAGGGTCAGGGTTAGAATTTGTATAATGGAAATGGCAGAAGTTCATGGGGTGGAAAGTTTCTACAGTGCTCATAAAGATTATGCTGAAATGGTAACCATGAGGTCTGTGACTGCCTTAGAATGTGAGCTTTAATCTAAAGTATTCTCTATTAACCACAAGTCATTCATGGTTCTCTTCAAACATACCCACAGAATTATAAAGAAAGCTTTATACAATGTAAGGACAGATGAATTTCCCCGGCTATTTTTCATAATTGTAACCATCCACCTGGGTATTATCTAAAGTCTAAAATTCTTTATAAACTATCGTGCCCACAATATTCAATTCATTATTTAGTCAAGTACTGTGATTTATCTCAATATGAAAATATTTTCAGGTATGTAAAACCCAGTGAAAACATCTTAGATTAAAAAAACCACTTCATTTGAAAAGCATATTTTAGCCCTTTATAATTTAAGCAATTCAATCTCATTTAATATGAATGAGGCCAAAGTTTTCTATTACACTGAATTTTGTTTGTATTTCAAGTTTAGGTTGTGTTGGGAGTGTGTGAGCTCTATGTGAATGTGCATGTGTGTTTATATCAGAAATTTCTAAAGTAGCCTTTTTGTTCGTTCACAAAAGTGTGCAAGCCTTCATTCAATAATATATATCTTACATAAACTGGGATGAATGCTTTAGCTTTGTGGACCTAAAGTATCCCAAACATAACAAAGCTATGTCAACATATGCCTAAATCATAAACTAACTCTGGGCATGTATAAGTAGAATATTTTAAAAACCAGAACAGACATTGAAAAACAGACAAAATCCCGGAGAAAAACTTCCGGCCAAAGCAGAAAATATCAGCAGGTGTTGCATTTTCAGTAGGTACAAAGCTGGAATTCTGGTCATAAGGATATAATCAAACTCAAGCTCTTCAATCATTGGACTCAGTTATTTAAAGAAGTGGCAGAATTCCTTATAATACTTTACTTGTTCTGGAAGAGAGAAATTATCCCTATTTGATATTCCCTTGACTTAATTGTGTCATGATCCAGGTTCAGGGGAAGAAGCTCTAATCATTAACTACTTGTTCACTTCTAATTTTAAGTAACTCTGACATATGGAAAGCAAGAGTTCAAATCCATCTTTTCCCAAATAAGTGTCACTTCTATGACAAATTTTCATAACACAAGATCTGCCCTTACTCATATTGACTTATTAGTGCACAGAAAAGTTTTCAAAAAACATCAGCCTTTGGTTCTTAAGGGAAACTTTAAAGAAAACCTTATAATAGATGCTTTACAAGTAATAGACACATAAGCACACAAAAAAAGACAAGCTACTGATTCCTGGCTGTTTTGATTTTTGTTTGTTATTGCTGTCTTGTCTTAAACCTGGCTAGAAAACTCTTAAAGAGGGTAAGGATTCAGATTTAAATTTTGGAGCACATAACTTTTTCCTATTCTTTACAAGTTAATGTTTCTGCAAGTACTTATTGTGGAAAATTGTCTAGCGTGTTTGAAATGAGGAGGGAGATGTAGCAAAAGTGGTAGGATTAAAAAGAAATCAGTAATATTTTATAGTTGCTTAAGAAAACAAAGGAAATCAAATCAACAGTAATTTCTGCCTCTCAGAGAGGCAATGTAGCAGCTTGACTGTATGGGAAATTGTGGGTTTAGGGGGAAATATTTCAGATTCAAACATTACAGGAAAGTTACCCAAGGTGGTCTTTAAAACATCTTATACACTATTTTACACAGCACTGCATAGTTTAAAATAGAGATTGTTAAGTACAAAAAGCTATAGAGCCTCTATAGGAGAAGGTGGGATAGAGAAATTATACTTAAACATATAAGTTGTGGAGAAAGAAAGAATCTGGGAACGTTCATAAAATAATTATTCATGTACCCACTTTCTTCTTTCTTTTTACTTCTCAACCAGTTGAGATTGCTTTTACACACTCATGAGCCATAGTAAATATCTATTCAATAAATGAATGCCTTAATCAAAACCACCAGCTCTTCTACAATGTAAAGAAATAATTTTTTAAAAATGGAAGAGGCCCGGCACGGTGGTTCACGCCTGTAATCTCAGCACTTTGGGAGGATGAGGCAGGCGGATCATGAGGTCAGGAGTTGCAGACCAGCCTGACCAGCACGGTGAAACTCTGTCTCTACTAAAAATACAAAAATTAGCCGGGCATGGTGGTGCACACCTGTAATCCCAGCTACTCAGGAGGCTGAGGCAGGAGAATCGCTTGAACCTGAGAGGCAGAGATTGCAGTGAGCCGAGATTGTGCCATTGCACTCCAGCCTGGGCGACAGAGCGGGACTCTGTCTCCAAAAAAAAAAAAAAAAAAAAGAGAAAAGGAAGAAGACAGGTATGACAAGGAAGATGTTAGATCAGTGTATCACCTGAACATGGTGGTTACAAGTATAGACTCTGGAGTTAGGACCCACCTAGGTCCAAATCCTGATTTTACCACCTCTTGCTCTCTGTCACTAGGCAAGTCCTGAAAGCTCTTTTAACCTTGATTTCCTCATCTGCATAATGGAACTAACAATACCATCTACTTTATCCAGCTGTTATAAATATTTAAAGTTATAAGTCATGTTTTAAGTACTTAGCAAAATTTTGACATATAATAAGGACAAAAATAAATATTAACTTTCATGATTACGTTATTAACAAAACCTTATGGTGAAATAAGCTGTCTTACATTAGACACAGCACCTCATACATCATTAATTCAAAATCATGTAAATCCTAAACTGCTTCATCAATTTGTACCTCTTCCAGGAGATAAATAATAAAAATATGTGAGCAAAATAAATAATAAAGATAGAAATACATTTACATGTTCTATGTTTTTAAAAAGTTGGTCAAAATAGAGATTATTTGGGGGTCCCCTTGACCACTGAAGAGTAAAATAACCATGGGAAAAGGAGTTGGGCTGATGACCATCTGGGAATTCACTGTAGGAGGCACCATGGTTCTGATAAAAGTGGCCCGTGGAACTTAGGAAGGGAAACTCTTGAATGTTAATGATGGCTGAGATTACATGTCAGGGGACATTAAGTAAAAAGAGGAAAGGAAAACAATGTCTTCTTTTCCTTAGACAACTGAAACCTAGTTAGGTGAATTAAGTTGGAAGGGTAAATATAAAACGATAGGTTTGCGTCCAGCTTCTTCCACTTACTGCCTCTGATTTAGCTTGCTCTTCTTCCAATCAAAAGTTACTTTAAAGTTCTATGAGCATAGACTCTGAACCACTAGCCTGTGAAAGCTAGTCATTCCAGTGGGAATAGAAATGCAAGACTTCACTTGTCCTATCAGACCTAGATATTGTAACTCCTATGGGATATTGATATTGACATAAGATTAGCGGTATGTGAGGAGATCCATTCTATAGAAGCCACATGTTAGCAGAATGCAAGGAAATCACTCTTGCAGTTCCAGAAAATGTCACTAACTTAGCATGGGGTTTCTTTCTATGGGAAATCAGCCATTTGAGCTTGCAAAAATTACCCAGACAAAATGCCTCTCAGCAGTTGAACAACATAAAAAATGTACAAACTTGGATATGATGCTGCAACGAGAGACCTAATTATTTCTATCTCACTACCTTCCTCTAAATGCAGATGGTGCATGTTATGGACTGAAGATTTGAGTCACCCCAAAAATCATATGTTGAAGCCTCAACCCCCGTGTGACTATATTTGTAGAGATAGGGCCTGTGAGGGAGTGATAAAGGTTAAATGAGGTCATTAGGGAAGGGTCCTGATCCAATAAGGCTGATGTTCTTATAAAAAGAGAAAGAGACACCAGAGTTAGCTCTCTCTCTGCAGCATGTGAGGACACTGCAAGAAGGTGGCTCTCTGCAAGCCAGGAAGAGAGCCCTCACCAGGGACTGAATCAGTCAGCACTTTGATCTTGAATTTTTGGTCTCTAGAACTATGGGAAATACATCCCTGTAGTTTTAGCCACCCAGTCTGTCGTGTTTTGTTATGGCAACCCGCACTGACTAAGACACTAAAGGAGTGAGAACATAGACCTGGGTTCAAATTCTGAGTTTATAATTTAAAACCTCTGTGACCTTGGAAAAGACACATAATCCTTCTATATCTATTTCTTCATCTGTAAAATGGAGCTCATAATATCTTTTTTATAAGGTCTTGAAAAGATCAGCTAAGATAATGTTTGTAAAACACATGGCCAGAGGAGATATTAGTTTATTTCTTTATGTTTCTACCAAAAACCACCTCTCACACATCTATCTGACAGTAGGGGCAGCACAATGAACAAGCAAGACCCAGTCCATGTACAAAGGGAGCTCACTCTGTACTTTGGGGAGAAATGTTGGTTCTTTGCATTAATCTTAAAATGATTTTATGAATGGGCCTCATATAATGGGCAACTCCCAGAAATTGTATGCAACATTTTACATGTATGAGAACTTTGCTTGGGAAGAGACCAGCCCTTTCATTCAAGTCTCAAAAATGAGTGTGACCCTAAAAAGGTGAGGAACCAGCCACTGTCTAATCTATTAAATGTGGATAATAATGTTATCTAGCTCAGAGAGTGATGATGATAATCAGCTAAGACAGCTTATGTAACTCTTCCTTTCTGTCCTTAATATCCAAAAAGGACTGTATTGTTTCATTGCCCAAAGAATCTGCTCTTCTTGGAAGCCAATTAGGAATAGACTCTGTGCCCAGGAAATGCTGTAAATGTCATCTTTTATCATTTCCATTGGGTTTCCATTCAATCAGTGACAAGTTCAGCTCCCACAGGCTCACAGTAAGGTAGCTCTGTGCACCTGACTCCTCTTCCTTCTGCCCCCAGTTGAGACTGCCCTTCTCCTTTTCTACTCCTTTCCACAAGGTTCTCACCTCATCTCTCTATTTTTCACCTTCTATGGGAACTCCCAGTCTCTGGTAACCATCGTTCTACTCTCTATCTCCATGAGTTCAGTTGTTTTGATTTTTAGATCCCACAAATAAGTGAGAACATGTGATGTTTGTCTTTGTGAGCCTGGTTTCTTTCACTTAACATTAAATTATCGAGTGGAGCATTTTTGAGGCAATGGAAAGTTGCTCTTGCCACTATTGTCTCATCTCTCAAACACTCCTCTTCTTTTACAGATGAGGAAAAAGAGAAGTGAAATGGGAAAGAAAATCCAGTGTTTTTACATAGATTGAAAAACTTAATAAAATGCAAAGTAAAATAGTAATCATCAACATCATCATGGATAATTCTCAGTAAGGGCTTATTGCATTGTAGGCATTGGGATAAGTGTCACCTGCGGATCAGCTCATTTAATCATGAAAATTCTATGAGTTGAAAATATTATTCTCATTTTAGAAATGAGAAATGCAGGCTTACAGAGGACAGGTAATTTGAGGGATGGGTGGAAGTGCTCAGCTGAGCACAAGCAGACAGAACAGAGTATGGAACTCGGTCTCTTACTAGTCAACCAACACTATCCATTCATCTAAGTCTCAGTTATTATTTTCAGGCCTTTAAAACATTTACCTTTAGACTTATTTAGGACATATGTAATATATAATATATTATTGATGTATCAGGCAGATCATTATGAAATTGGGTTTGTGCATGTTAATGGCTTTAGTGGCAAACAGAAAGATCTAATTTGAAAATTTTTTGGCTGGTTTATGATTCAGAACCATTTACCATTGGTCCAATATTTCTTGCAAGAATGATAAGGATATGAGGAAAACCATATGAGTGTCAAAGTAGTGATGGTCACCAAGTTCTACCAACTAGAGGCAGGGGGTTGGCACTTACCATTTACATTGTGAAGTGTGTTTGCCTTGACTGAAGACATTTTAGTTGACTTGGAGTTGCTCATTTCTTTGGAGTAATCAGGCATGGAAATTTTGTTTCCTCCCAGCTAATCAGAATTTTGAGACCTGCTAAGAAATCATGAGAAAAAAGGCTCCATGTTGTTTTGACTTTTGTCAAATTCTGAAGGGTTTGGTAACCTGCCCCCTTCTGCCATTAGCCTGCTTCTTTCTGTGCAGAAATAGCCTGCACTTTGACATGGCCTTAATTTCATGAGAGAGCTGAAAGCAACTGTATATGTTTTACAAACCATAGTCCCAGGAGCACTGTATACCCCTGATCACCAAGAAGCTAAATTATTTAAAACTCATGGGATGTGTGTGACAGGAGGGGCTCAATGTCAACACTGAATGAGGAAAGGCTGGGCTGGTCATAGTTCTCACAGTTGGAACTTCCTCTTGAAGGTTGCAGAGTCCTTTTTGGTGGAAGGGACACGTTAATCAACCATCCAAACAAAAAATGAGTGTCACTGAATCTAGATTACACTAAGTTACAGGAGAAATTCTGACTAATGAAGTGGAATTAAACACAAGAAAAATACCTTTAAGTGGATGTATCAGTTCTTTCTCTGTGTTTAGCAACACACCAACAGAGACCGGGGCAGGGGTGTTTGTTAATATTGGTGGACTTCTTTAATGTTTACAGCTTAGGCAAGATATCCTCCTTATTAGCTATGGAGTGAGGAGCTTTGTCAGGTTTTCCACAGCACAGAGTAATATCAGAATTTGTCTCAGTGATGATAATGGTGACAGATGTCCCTTACTGAGTAGTTTTTTTTGAGTGAAGAGGGGTTATTACTGTCATTATTACTTTCTCATAGAGGGATTATCACAAACTTGGTGCCATATGGGGTGGTAACTTAGTCCCCGTCCTGCCAGGGCCAAGCATGATTTTGCACGGATTGAACTGAATGGGAATTCTTCCTAGGGTAGTTCAGGCCAGCAAATAGCTTTGATGCATTTCGAGCTGACAATGTGATTTTCAACTGTTCTCCATGATGCCTCAGAGCCACTTCAGATCTTTGTCATATGCCAACCCCGGTGGGGACAGGCTGACTTTG
This sequence comes from Homo sapiens, assembly GCF_000001405.40. Classification (NCBI taxonomy): domain Eukaryota; kingdom Metazoa; phylum Chordata; class Mammalia; order Primates; family Hominidae; genus Homo; species Homo sapiens. The sequence continues at coordinate 35,184,105 of NC_000008.11, read as the reverse complement.
GTCTCTTTATTTCTTTCTTTGGGAAGCTCAACATTCAATCCCCCTGGAATATTTTCTGAGAATTCAAATCTATGTTGGCATGAGGGGAAGGGCACAGATAAGGAGCAGACATTCCCATGGGTCCCCTAAATTAAATGAAGTATGTGGCCTTTCAATGTTAGAAACTTAAAATATTGGGCATAAGATAGTAACAAATAATATATATTAGATGCTTGTGTTCAGACATTGTTATAAGAATGTTACAGACATTGTTTCATTTAACCTACAACCCCATATAGAAAGCACTAATATTGCTTCCATTACACGTATGAAGATTTGAGAGGTGGTTGGTTAAATAACCCACCTACAATGCCACTGCTGGTAATCTGCAGAGACAGGCTTTGAATTGAGGCATTCTCGCTGGTTCCAGAGCCCACCAGACAATTTGTAGTTTCTGTAAGCTTCAAAAATTTTGGAGGCTATATTTCACTGAATTAATAGGGGCTCAATTTCTTCAGAGTTTTCAATTAAGTATTGACTTCTCATCATGCTCTTTTCAATAAATTTCTTGCCATGCAAGAAAATTCAGGGACCTTCTTGTTGAAATACTGGATCTGGCCTTATTAGGAAGCTACTGCTCATATTCATTTTAAAAGCCATTCTATTGCCTCACAGACATCACTATCTGTATTTGAGAGGCTGTCTGAAAGAGCCTTATTATTGCAGCATGTTGCTGACAAGTAATGCACTATTGCCATCTATTGTAATGGAGAGTTAAGTTGATTTACTCTGAAAGATAGTGAGCTAATAGGAAACATTCACTGTGCAGTTGGGAACCACAATTCATTGTTCTCCTCTGTTCAGGAGCATCTCTCAATTGCTCAGGGCAAGCAAGACACATACCTTGCTCTCATGAACAGGATTTGACCTGAAGAACTCCAAAGCCCCTTAGTCCAAGATCATGAATCCTATTTACCGATGATGAAACTAAGGAAGATGATGCAATTCTTTGACTGTTTTTCTTTAAGCTCAACGGGAAACATCCGTACCATCATTTGCAGAAGCAACACATTGCAGAAGATCTCATTCTAATATCATTAGAGCAGTGAGGCTGGGTCTAAGCTCCTAGGGGTGTCACAGCATGATGGTGAAACAGATGCCTGCCTGTCATTTCATGTTGGCTACATCTCCTATTCCCCGATGAGATGCAAATAACGGTTCACTCATTTTGGAGAACTATCTACTGCATCCCATTGCCTTCCTGCCTTCTGAGCTGATCAGACAGTATTAGTCGGGTCTTCACGCCTACTTCGTTTCCTGCTGGCCTTAAATAAATTTGTGATCTGCTGATCAGTGTTTGTATTATTCACAGGAGCAGCCGGCATTTTGGGCTTCCTCATTTCTGACCTGCCATGGAGCAGGCCTGGATGTGCTGCCTATCTCTGGAAAGCACTGCAAGGCAGCCAGCATCACTACCCATTCAGCCTGTGGCCATTTGAAGTCTGGCATGCTCAAACAAGTCTCAAATACTGTCAGTTCTACTAGGAAATTAACCTGGATTCTGTTGCTTACGCTTAACCTTTTTGGCTTGTTCTCTTTTCTCCTGGGCCAGGACAACACACCCTTCAGTTTTGTATCCTACCATCTTTCAGCTTTCCTGTATTTGTTGCTTCCTTCTTTTAAAATTTATTTTCGTTCTTGAATTTTTTTAAGCAATTGAATGTCAATAGCTTTAGGGGTACCAGTGGTTTTTGGTTATATGGATGAAGTGTATTGTGGTGAAGACTAGGATTTAATGCACTCATCACCTAGTGTACCCAATAGGTAGTTTTTCATCCCTCACACCCCTTCCTTCCTCCCCCATTCTGAGTCTGCAATGTCCATTATACCACTCTGTATGCCTTTGTGTCCCCATAAGCTTAGCTCCTGCTTATTAGCGAGAACATGTAGTATCTGGTTTTTGATTCTCAAGTTACTTCACATAGAATAATGGCCTCCAGTTCCATCCAAGTTGCTGTGAAAGACATTAATTCATTTTTAAATGTCCAAGCAGTATTTCATAGTGTATATACACCATATTTTCTTTATCCACTCATTGGCTGATACACAGACACTTAAATTGGTTCCATATCTTTGCAATTGTGAATTACATTACAATAAACATATGTGTTCATGTGTGCAAGTGTCTTTTTGATCTAGTGATTTATTTTTCTTTGGGTAGGTACCCAGCAGTGGGGTTGTTGGATCTAATGGTAGATCTACTTTTAGTTCTTTGAGAAATCCTCATATTGTTTTTCATGGAGGTTGTACTAATTTACATTCCCACCAACAGTGTATATGCATTCATTTTTCATAACATCCACACAAGTATCTATTTTTTTGGCATTTTAATAATGGTCATTCTGGGTGGAGTAAAGTGGTATCTCATTGTGGTATTAATTTGCATTTCCCTGATGATTAGATATGGAGTTTTTTTCATGTTTCTTGGACACTTGTATATCTTCTTTTGAGAAATGTATGTTCATGTCCTTTGCCCACTTTTTAATGGAGTTATTTGTCTTTTTTTCTGGCTGATTTTGTTTATTTGCAGATTCTGGATATTAGTCTTGTCAAAAGCATAATTTGCAAATATTTTCTCTCCTTCTGTAGGTTGTTTGATTAGTCTGATGATTATTTCTTTTGTTTTGCAGAGATTTTTAATTTAATTAGGTTCCAATTATTTATTTTTAGTTTTGTTTTACTTTTGGAGTCTTAGTGATAATTTTTTTGCCTAAGCCAATGCCAGAAGAGTTTCTTCTATATTTTTTACATTTTCAGGTCTCAGATTTAAGTCTTTAATACATCTTGAGTTAATTTTTGTATATAGTGAGAAATAGGTATTCAGTTTCATTGTTCTGTGTGTGACTATCCGATTTTCCCAGCACTGTTTACTGAATAGGGCATTTTTTCCCCCAGTTTATGTTTTTGCAAGCTTTGTCAAAGATCAATTGGTTGTAAGTGTTTGGGTTTATTTCTGGGCTCTCTATTCTGTTGCATTGGAATATGTGTCTACTTTTATGCCAGCGCCATGCTCTTTTGGTTACTATATCCTAGTATTATAATTTGAAGTCAGGTAATATGATGCCTCCAGATTTGTTCCTTTGCTTAGGATTGCTTTGGCAATTCTGGCTCTTTTTTGGTTCCATATGAATTTTAGACTTTTTTTAATTCTATGAAAAATGATATTGGTATTTTGATGGGAATTGCACTGAATCTGTAGAGTGCTTTGGGCAGTATGGCCATTTTCACAATATTGATTATTCCAATCCATGAACGTGGGATGTACTTCCATTTGTTTGTGTCACTTATGATTTATTTCAGCACTGTTTTGTAGTTCTCCTTGTAGAGCTCTTTCCCCTCCTTGATTAAGTATATTCCTAAGAATTTTTAGTGTAGCTATTGTAAAAGGGATTGAGTTCTTGATTTGATTCTCAGCATGATTATTGTTGGTTTATAGCAGTGCTACTGATTTGTATACACTGATTTTATAATCTGATAGTTTACTGAATTAATTTATCAGATCTAGGAGTCTTTTGGAGGAACCTTTAGCATTTCCTAGGTTTAAGATCATATCATCAGCAAATGGAGTTAGTTTGTCTTCCTCTTTTCCAATTTGGATGCCTCTTATTTCTTTCTTTTTCCTGATTGCTCTGACTAGGACTTCCAGTACTATGTTGGACTAGTGAAAGTGGGCATCCTTGTCTTTTTCAAATTCTTAGGGGGAATGTTTTAAACTTTTCCTTGTTCATTATAAGGTTGGCTGTGGGTTTTTCATATATGGCTTGTATTATTTTGAGTTGTGTATGTTTGTTCTATGCCTAGCTTATTGAGTAACTTTATCACAAAGAGATCCTGGATTTTATCAAATGTCTTTTCTGCATCCATTGAGATGATCATATGGTTTTTGTCTTTCATTCTGTATATGTGATGAATTACATTTATTGACTTCCTTACATTGAACCATCCCTGCATCCCTGGTGTAAAATCCAGTTGATCACACTAAATTATTTTTTGATGTACTGTTGGATTCCAGTTGCTAGTATTTTGTTGAGGATTTTTCATCTATATTAATCAGAGATACTGATTTGTAGTTTTCTTTTTTGTCTATGTTCTTTCCTCACTTTGGTATCAAGGTGTAATGGCTTTGTAGAAGGAATTAGGGAGGAGTCCCTTCTTCATAATCTTTTGTAATAGTTTCGGTAGAATTGGTACCAATCCTCCTTTGAATATCTGGTAGAATTGGGGTGTAAATCCATCTATCTCTGGGCTTTTTTGTTGTTGTTGGCAGATTTATCTTATTATCAGTTCAATCTTACTGCTTGTTATTGTTCTGTTCAGGATTTCTGTTTCTTCCTGATTCAAGCTAGGGAGTGATTTGTTTCCAGGAGTTTATCCATTTCCTCTGGAATTCCTAGTTTGTGTACATAGAGTTGTTCATAGCAGTCTTAAATGATCTTTTGTATTTCTGTGGTATCAGCTATAATGTCTCCATTATTTTTCTAATTCAGTTTATTTGAAACTTCTCTCTTTTCTTGGTTAATCTAGGTAGTGGTATGTCAATTTTATTTATTTATATATTTAAAGAACCAGCTTTTTGCTTTTTGTTTCATTGACTTTTTCTTTTCTTTTTTTTTTTTCTTTTTTGTTACAGTTGCATTTAGTTCTGCTCTGATCTTTGTTATTTCTTTTCTTCTGCTAGTTTGTGGTTTGGTCTGTTCTTGTTTCTCTAGTTCTTTGAGGTGTAACATTAGGTAGTCAATTTGTAAACTTTCAGACTTTATGTGGTAGGCATTTAACACTATAAACTTTCCTCTTAGTACTGCTTTTGCTGTATTCCAGAGGTTTTAAGAACTTGTGTAACTGTTATCATTCATTTTGAAAAAGTTTTAAATTTCCATCCTAATTTTATTGTTAACCCATAAATTATTCAGGAGCCAATTCTTTTTTTTTTTTTTTTTTTTTTTTTTGAGACGGAGTCTCACTCTTTCGCCCAAGCTGGACTGCAGTGGCGCTATCCCGGCTCACTGCAAGCTCCGCCTCTTGGGTTCATGCCATTCTCCTGCCTCAGCCTCCCGAGTAGCTGGGATTACAGGCACCCACCACCACGCCCGGGTAATTTTTTGTATTTTTAGTAAAGACGGGGTTTCACCGTGTTAGCCAGGATGGTCTCGATCTCCTGACCTCGTGATCCGCCTGCCTCGGCCTCCCAAAGTGCTGGGATTACAGGTGTGAGCCACCGCGGCCAATTCTTTAGTTTCCAAGTATTTGTATAGTTTTGAGGGCTCTTTTTGGAATTTGTTTCTAGTTTTATTCCACTGTGGTCTGAGAAGAAACTTGATATAATTTCAATTTCTGAGACTTGTTTAGTGGCCTGTCATATGGTCTAAATTGAAAAATGTTCCATATGCTGATGAAAATAATATATATTCTTCAGTTCTTGGGGTGAATGGTCTGTAAGTATCTGTTACATCCACTTTTAGTAAAGCACAGTTTTCATCCGATGTTTCTATGTTGATGGTCTGCCTTGATGATCTGTCTAGTGTTCTCAGTTGGAACGTTGCTATATATCTCTTTTCTTCTTATTATTAAATGATTTATGAACCTAGGAGCTCTGAAATAAGGTACATACATATTTAGGATTGTTATGTGTGTGTTGATCCTTTTATCATTATGTAACGACCTTCTTTGTCTATTTTACTGTTGTTGACTTAAAGTCTTTTTTATAGGATGTAAGAACAGCTAGTCCTGCTTGCTTTTGGTTTCCATTTGCAGGAAATATCTTTTTCCACTGCTTTACTTTGAGTCTATAAGAATATGTGTTAAGTGTGTCTCCTGAAGACAGTAGATATTTGGTTTGTGACTTTTTAAATTCAAGCTGCCAATTTGTATCTTTTAAGTAGAGAATTTAGACCAATCTACATTTAACTTTAATGTTGAGATGTGGGGTACTGTTTCAATCATTCAGTTGATTATTACCTAGTGAATTTATTTTCTTCATTGTGTTATTGTTTTACAAGCCCTATGCATTTTATGCTTTCAGGAGTTTCCAATCTGGTGTGTATCAACCTTTTGTTTTAATTTTTTTTTTTTTTTTTTTGAGACGGAGTTTCGCTCTGTTGCCTGGGCTAGAGTGCAGTGGCACAATCTCGGCTCACTGCAAGCTCTGCCTCCCGGGTTCACGCCATTCTTCTGCCTCAGCCTCCCAAGTAGCTGGGTCTACAGGTGCCCACCACCACGCCTGGCTAATTTTTTGTATTTTTAGTAGAGGCAGGGTTTCACTGTATTAGCCAGGATGGTCTCAATCTCCTGACCTCATGATCTGCCCACCTCTGCCTCCCAAAGTGCTGGAATTACAGGCATGAGCCACCGCGCCCAGCCTGTTTTAATATTTAGAACTCTTTTTAGCATTTCTTTTAAAGCTAGTCTAACACTGACAAGTTCTCCCAGGATTTGCTTGTCTGAGAAATATTTTATTTCTCCTTTCTAAATTTTATATATAGAAACTTAGTTTTTCTGAATATAAAATTATTGGCTGACAATTACTGTGTTTAAAGACACTAAAGAAAAGACCTCAATTCCGGGGAGCAGCCAAGATGGCCGAATAGGAACAGCTCCGGTCTACAGCTCCCAGCGTGAGCAACACAGAAGACAGGGGATTTCTGCATTTCCATCTGAGGTACCGGGTTCATCTCACTAGGGAGTGCCAGACAGTGGGCGCGGGTTAGTGGGTGCGCGCACCGTGCGCGAGCCGAAGCAGGGCGAGGCATTGCCTCACTTGGGAAGTGCAAGGGGTCAGGGAGTTCCCTTTCCGAGTCAAAGAAAGGGGTGACGGATGCACCTGGAAAATCAGGTCACTCCCACCCAAATATTGTGCTTTTCGGACTGGCTTAAAAAACGGCGCACCACGAGATTATATCCCGCACATGGCTAAGAGGGTCCTATGCCCACAGAGTCTCGCTGATTGCTAGCACAGCAGTCTGAGATCAAACTGCAAGGCGGCAACGAGGCTGGGGGAGGGGCGCCCGCCATTGCCCAGGCTTGCTTAGGTAAACAAAGCAGCCGGGAAACTCGAACTGGGTGGAGCCCACCACAGCTCAAGGAGGCCTGCCTGCCTCTGTAGGCTCCACCTCTGGGGGCAGGGCACAGACAAACAAAAAGACAGCAGTAACCTCTGCAGACTTAAATGTCCATGTCTGACAGCTTTGAAGAGAGCAGTGGTTCTCCCAGCACGCAGCTGGAGATCTGAGAATGGGCAGACTGCCTCCTCAAGTGGGTCCCTGACCCCTGAACCCCGAGCAGCATAACTGGGAGGCACCCCCCAGCAGGGGCACACTGACACCTCACACGGCAGGGTATTCCAACAGACCTGCAGCTGAGGGTCCTGTCTGTTAGAAGGAAAACTAACAAACAGAAAGGACATCCACACCAAAAACCCATCTGTACATCACCATCATCAAAGACCAAAAGTAGATAAAACCACAAAGATGGGGAAAAAACAGAACAGAAAAAGTGGAAACTCTAAAACTCAGGGCACCTCTCCTCCTCCAAAGGAACGCAGTTCCTCACCAGCAACGGAACAAAGCTGGATGGAGAATGACTTTGACGAGCTGAGAGAAGAAGGCTTCAGACGATCAAATTACTCTGAGCTACAGGAGGACATTCAAACCAAAGGCAAAGAAGTTGAAAACTTTGAAAAAAATTTAGAAGAATGTATAACTAGAATAACCAATACAGAGAAGTGCTTAAAGGAGCTGATGGAGCTGAAAACCAAGGCTCGAGAACTACGTGAAGAATGCAGAAGCCTCAGGAGCCGATGCGATCAACTGGAAGAAAGGGTATCAGCAATGGAAGATGAAATGAATGAAATGAAGCGAGAAGGGAAGTTTAGAGAAAAAAGAATAAAAAGAAATGAGCAAAGCCTCCAAGAAATATGGGACTATGTGAAAAGACCAAATCTATGTCTGATTGGTGTACCTGAAAGTGATGGGGAGAATGGAACCAAGTTGGAAAACACTCTGCAGGATATTATCCAGGAGAACTTCCCCAATCTAGCAAGGCAGGCCAACATTCAGATTCAGGAAATACAGAGAACACCACAAAGATACTCCTCGAGAAGAGCAACTCCAAGACACATAATTGTCAGATTCACCAAAGTTGAAATGAAGGAAAAAATGTTAAGGGCAGCCAGAGAGAAAGGTCGGGTTACCCTCAAAGGGAAGCCCATCAGACTAACAGCGGATCTCTTGGCAGAAACCCTACAAGCCAGAAGAGAGTGGGGGCCAATATTCAACATTCTTAAAGAAAAGAATTTTCAACCCAGAATTTCATATCCAGCCAAACTAAGCTTCATAAGTGAAGGAGAAATAAAATCCTTTACAGACAAGCAAATGCTGAGAGATTTTGTCACCACCAGGCCTGCCCTAAAAGACCTCCTGAAGGAAGCGCTAAACATGGAAAGGAACAACCGGTACCAGCCGCTGCAAAATCATGCCAAAATGTAAAGACCATCGAGACTAGGAAGAAACTGCATCAACTAACGAGCAAAATAACCAGCTAACATCATAATGACAAGATCAAATTCACACATAACAATATTAACTTTAAATGTAAATGGACTAAATGCTCCAATTAAAAGACACAGACTGGCAAATTGGATAAAGAGTCAAGACCCATCAGTGTGCTGTATTCAGGAAACCCATCTCACGTGCAGAGACACACATAGGCTCAAAATAAAAGGATGGAGGAAGATCTACCAAGCAAATGGAAAACAAAAAAAGGCAGGGGTTGCAATCCTAGTCTCTGATAAAACAGACTTTAAACCAACAAAGATCAAAAGAGACAAAGAAGGCCATTACATAATGGTAAAGGGATCAATTCAACAAGAAGAGCTAACTATCCTAAATATATATGCACTCAATACAGGAGCACCCAGATTCATAAAGAAAGTCCTGAGTGACCTACAAAGAGACTTAGACTCCCACACATTAATAATGGGCGAGTTTAACACCCCACTGTCAACATTAGACAGAACAACAAGACAGAAAGTCAACAAGGATACCCAGGAATTGAACTCAGCTCTGCACCAAGCGGACCTAATAGACATCTACAGAACTCTGCACCCCAAATCAACAGAATATACATTTTTTTCAGCACCACACCACACCTATTCCAAAATTGACCTCATACTTGGAAGTAAAGCTCTCCTCAGCAAATGTAAAAGAACAGAAATTATAATGAACTATCTCTCAGACCACAGTGCAATCAAACTAGAACTCAGGATTAAGAATCTCACTCAAAACCGCTCAACTACATGGAAACTGAACAACCTGCTCCTGAATGACTACTGGATACATAACGAAATGAAGGCAGAAATAAAGATGTTCTTTGAAACCAACGAGAACAAAGACACAACATACCAGAATCTCTGGGAAGCATTCAAAGCAGTGTGTAGAGGGAAATTTATAGCACTAAATGCCCACAAGAGAAAGCAGGAAAGATCCAAAATTGACACCCTAACATCACAATTAAAAGAACTAGAAAAGCAAGAGCAAACACATTCAAAAGCTAGCAGAAGGCAAGAAATAACTAAAATCAGAGCAGAGCTGAAGGAAATAGAGACACAAAAAACCCTTCAAAAAATTAATAAATCCAGGAGCTGGTTTTTTGAAAGGATCAACAAAATTGATAGACCGTTAGCAAGACTAATAAAGAAAAAAAGAGAGAAGAATCAAATAGACGCAATAAAAAATGATAAAGGGGATATCACCACCGATCCCACAGAAATACAAACTACCATCAGAGAATACTACAAACACCTCTACGCAAATAAACTAGAAAATCTAGAAGAAATGGATAAATTCCTTGACACATACACTCTCCCAAGACTAAACCAGGAAGAAGTTGAATCTCTGAATAGACCAATAACAGGAGCTGAAATTGTGGCAATAATCAATAGTTTACCAACCAAAAAGAGTCCAGGACCAGATGGATTCACAGCCGAATTCTATCAGAGGTACAAGGAGGAACTGGTACCATTCCTTCTGAAACTATTCCAATCAATAGAAAAAGAGGGAATCCTCCCTAACTCATTTTATGAGGCCAGCATCATTCTGATACCAAAGCCAGGCAGAGACACAACCAAAAAAGGGAATTTTAGACCAATATCCTTGATGAACATTGATGCAAAAATCCTCAATAAAATACTGGCAAAATGAATCCAGCAGCACATCAAAAAGCTTATCCACCATGATCAAGTGGGCTTCATCCCTGGGATGCAAGGCTGGTTCAATATACGCAAATCAATAAATGTAATCCAGCATATAAACAGAGCCAAAGACAAAAACCACATGATTATCTCAATAGATGCAGAAAAAGCCTTTGACAAAATTCAACAACCCTTCATGCTAAAAACTCTCAATAAATTAGGTATTGATGGGACGTATTTCAAAATAATAAGAGCTATCTATGACAAACCCACAGCCAATATCATACTGAATAGGCAAAAACTGGAAGCATTCCCTTTGAAAACTGGCACAAGACAGGGATGCCCTCTCTCACCACTCCTATTCAACATAGTGTTGGAAGTTCTGGCCAGGGCAATTAGGCAGGAGAAGGAAATAAAGGGTATTCAATTAGGAAAAGAGGAAGTCAAATTGTCCCTGTTTGCAGACGACATGATTGTATATCTAGAAAACCCCATTGTCTCAACCCAAAATCTCCTTAAGCTGATAAGCAACTTCAGCAAAGTCTCAGGATACAAAATCAATGTACAAAAATCACAAGCATTCTTATACACCAATAACAGACAAACAGAGAGCCAAATCATGAGTGAACTCCCATTCACAATTGCTTCAAAGAGAATAAAATACCTAGGAATCCAACTTACAAGGGATGTGAAGGACCTCTTCAAGGAGAACTACAAACCGCTGCTCAAGGAAATAAAAGAGGATACAAACAAATGGAAGAACATTCCATGCTCATGGGTAGGAAGAATCAATATCGTGAGAATGGCCATACTGCCCAAGGTAGTTTACAGATTCAATGCCGTCCCCATCAAGCTACCAATGACTTTCTTCACAGAATTGGAAAAAACTACTTTAAAGTTCATATGGAACCAAAAAAGAGCCTGCATTGTCAAGGCAATCCTAAGCCGAAAGAACAAAGCTGGAGGCATCACACTACCTGACTTCAAACTGTACTACAAGGCTACAGTAACCAAAACACCATGGTACTGGTACCAAAACAGAGATATAGATCAATGGAACAGAACAGAGCCCTCAGAAATAACACCGCATATCTACAACTATCTGATCTTTGACAAACCTGAGAAAAACAAGCAATGGGGAAGGGATTCCCTATTTAATAAATGGTGCTGGGAAAACTGGCTAGCCGTATGTAGAAAGCTGAAACTGGATCCCTTCCTTATACCTTATACAAAAATCAATTCAAGATGGATTAAAGACTTAAATGTTAGACCTAAAACCATAAAAACCCTAGAAGAAAACCTAGGCATCACCATTCAGGACATAGGCATGGGCAAGGACTTCATGTCCAAAACACCAACAGCAATGGCAACAAAAGGCAAAATTGACAAATGGGATCTAATTAAACTAAAGAGCTTCTGCACAGCAAAAGAAACTACCATCAGAGTGAACAGGCAACCTACAAAATGGGAGAAAATTTTCGCAACCTACTCATCTGACAAAGGGCTAATATCCAGAATCTACAATGAACTCAAACAAATTTCCAAGAAAAAAACAAACAACCCCATCAAAAAGTGGGCGAAGGACATGAACAGACACTTCTCAAAAGAAGACATTTATGCAGCCAAAAAACACATGAAAAAATGCTCATCATCACTGGCCATCAGAGAAATGCAAATCAAAACCACAATGAGATACCATCTCACACCAGTTAGAATGGCAATCATTAAAAAGTCAGGAAGCAACAGGTGCTGGAGAGGATGTGGAGAAATAGGAACACTTTTACACTGTTGGTGGGACTGTAAACTAGTTCAACCATTGTGGAAGTCAGTGTGGCGATTCCTCAGGGATCTAGAACTAGAAATACCATTTGACCCAGCCATCCCATTACTGGGTATATACCCAAAGGACTATAAATCTTGCTGCTATAAAGACACATGTACACGTATGTTTATTGCAGCATTATTCACAATAGCAAAGACTTGGAACCAACCCAAATGTCCAACAATGATAGACTGGATTAAATAATGTGGCACATATACAACATGGAATACTATGCAGCCATAAAAAATGATGAGTTCATGTCCTTTGTAGGGACATGGGACATGGATGAAATTGGAAATCATCATTCTCAGTAAACTATCGCAAGAACAAAAAAACCAAACACCGCATATTCTCACTCATAGGTGGGAATTGAACAATGAGATCACATGGACACAGGAAGGGGAATATCACACTCTGGGGACTGTGGTGGGGTGTGGGGAGGGGGGAGGGATAGCAATGGGAGATATACCTAATGCTAGATGACGAGTTAGTGGGTGCAGCGCACCAGCATGGCACATGTATACATATGTAACTAACCTGCACAATGTGCACATGTACCCTAAAACTTAAAGTATAATAAAAAAAAAAACAGAAAAAAAAAAACCCAATTCCTTCTGGTTTGGAAGTTTTCTCCTGAGAAGTCTACTGTTAGTCTGATAGATTTTCATTTATAGGTTACCTGATGTTTTTGTCTCACTGCTTTTAGAAATTTTTTCCTTTAGGTTGACTTTAGTTGGTCTAATGAACATAGGTCTTGGTGATGTCCTTTCTGCACTGAGTCTCCAGGAGTTCTTTGTGCTTCTTGTATTTGGATGTCTAAATCTCTACCAAGGCCAGTGAAGTATTCCCCAATTATTCCCTCAAATAGGTTTTCCAAACACGTTTTTCCTTCTCCCTCAAGAACACCTATAATTCTTAGGTTTGGCCATTTTACATAATCCTGTATTTCTTGGATAATTTATTCATTTCTTTTAATTATTTTTCTTTATTTTATTTCTAATAAGGTTAATATAAAACTTTGGTCTTTGATCTCTGAAATTCTTTCTTTCACTTGGTCTACTTTATTGTTAAAACTTTGCACTGCATTTTGTAGTTTTCTAAATGTGTCTTTCATTTCCAGAAGTTTGGATTGGTTTTTCTTTAAAATAACTATCTCTTTAGAAACTTTTTCATTCATATCCTGAATTGCTTTTAGAATATCTTTATGTTGATTTTCACATTTCTTTTGTTTCTCCTTGAATAATTTAATAATCAAACTTTTAAATTATTTATCTGGTATTTCAAAGATTTCATCTTGGTTTGGACCCACTGTTGGAGAGTTCGTGTGATCTTTGGGGGGTGTTAGAGAGCCCTGTGTTTTCATATTGCCAATATTGGTTTTCCATTTCCTTTTCATTTGGGTAGACTATGTTTTCTAATTAGTTTGTATGAAATTGAGTTTTAAAATTTCTTGTTTTTTTTCCCTTGAGGTTGTAACTTTAAAGTTAATTGTTTATTGTCACCTAGCTTCAGCTCTGGGTGCTTTCAGTGGTGACGACTCTGTATGAGCTCCTTTGTTATACAGAATCTGTGTGCAATGGCTTTCTCAGATGCTGGTTGTTGTACAAATGTGCTAAGTGTGTGAGCAAGTTCACTGTCTCCTGTGGGGCCTGTGACCACCACCTGAGTTAGCTAGCAGACTTTGTGAGATCTCCTCTGAGATAGGATCAGGAATCTCAGATTTGGTGCTTTTCTGGTGATAATAAGAAACTCCCATTTCAGCCCTGAGGCCCATGGGACCCCTCTGATTGTATGACTTGTATCTGTTTCCTTATGACTCCTAAGGAAAGTGAGACAGATTCAATTATTTATTAGAACCCTCCAATTGTGTTTTCTATAACAATTTTGAACTTTAGAAAGTTAAAAAATACATTAATAGTATTCTTCTGTGATGCAATATGAAGATAATTTGAACAAAATTTCCATACAAGGAGCCTTTCCTAAGGGATGCAAAAGACACTAGTGGCTCCTGGAACGTTCAACCCCCTTGATGTTTCTGTCTCCATTCCCACTCTTCAGATCAGTTCAACGTATGCTAGTGAGCTTAAACTACCAGTCGGGCACTGGGCAAGGGGCTGAGATTCAAAGATAAAAAAGAAATAATATTTAATTTCAACGACCTCATGGAGTCAGATATAATATACAGAAGCCTCCAAAAGACTATTTCAGTGACATGATAGAAGTGTGCATCGAATGGAAGGGAAATTTAGGAAAGTTTCCTGGAGAAGAAAACACCTGAGCTGAACCTTGAAGGGAGAACTAGGAGGAGTGAAGAATAATGGAGGAAAGAATATAAGCAAGGGACAGATTAGTGGCTGGGTGTGAAGCCAGATGCACAAGTTCGATATTAGTAGAGAGTGAAGTGTACAGAAGGAAGTCATTCAAAATGTATTATTTATGAAGCAACCACAATGTAGGCAAGCACCACCTTAGAAACCTGGAAGGATTTTACTGTCGTGACTACATCCCTGCCCCCAGGAACTTAAGAGTCTAGGTGCTTGCCAGAATCATTGAATTACTTTATATACCAAGCCAAAAGACTCTGGTTGGTGCCAAAGAAATATTAAGAAAATTGTAATCCTACTGGTAGAAAGCATAATAAGAAAAAAAATGTTTGAATATTTTTATGCACATTTTACCAAGGCAACTTTATTCTTTAAGGCTCTGGCAAAGGATGTTAGCTCTAGCTTTAGAAACAATAGATGGTTGTATGAAATACCAGCTTGCAAACCTATTGCAGGGCTCTACTGCCTAACTTGTCATGGTCTCACCTTGCTGGATTTGGGTTAAATTGCCAGCATAAAGATGAATCTACTGCATGCCCTCTACCTTATTGGAACTCTCACCAGGGATGTGTTTGCAGTAAAAAGCAACATAAGAATACAGCTCTAAACTCAGTGATAACACATACAGCAGGAATAAGACAAAGTTGGAAGTGTATTTTAGGGTTGCACAAGGCCCATCTCTCTGTCTGCAACCAGCAGAGAAAATACTCAGTCAATTTGGCATTATGATCATTATTCTCTCCATAAAGGAAAGGACAACTGCCTCTTCTAATGAAATAGTCTCTTCTTCCTGCTTTAATCAGCTGATTATACTCTCTTTTAGGATTATATCATAATGGTCATATAATCTAATACAGTAAAGAGGAAATCAGCAAAAATATCTTGATGACCAAGAGTTATTACCCAAGCCACTTAAAGAAAATTGTATCTACTCTGTCTTTTACAGATCTGGGATTTTAATATCTATATAAAGGAAGGGCAAATATAGTTACATAATTTTGAAGTAAGCAAAAGTTTCTTTTTTAAAGTTTGAAGTAAGCAAATTTTCTTTAATAAACAAATATTAAAATGTATGCTTTGATAAATTATCTTCAGTTTTTGTGCACAAAATTTTATAGCACTTAGATCACTTACCCTCTTCAAAGAAGGCTCTTCAGAAACACCAGTTCATAGGGAATTTTCCCTCTACTCTATTCCTAGAGTAATTGTCTACATTTTAATTTAGCTGTTGATCACATGGGATTTATAACATCGCTTGTATTATGTATTGAATTTTATTTATCTATTGTATTGCCATTCAACATTTTATGGTTTTATAAGAGGTGGCTCTGATAGAAGAAAATATGTGGGTTTTAGGGAAAAACCCTAGATTGCACATTTTAGAGTGAGGCGGACTTGTACAATCACATAATAATTCTGAGTCTTGGTTTCCTTATCATTAAAATAGGAAAAGAGGTACCCATTTTGTGGGGTTATTATGAGAATGGAGTAAGATATATTCATAGTATCTAACATGGGAATAAGTGCTCATTAACTATTACAACTATTTTAAAAAAATCTCTTAAAATGCTTTTAGGTTTTTGTTGTTTTTGCTTAAAGAAAGTCATTTGCCATGTGAAAAGTTCAACTACTCTGAGACTGCCATGCTGTGAAGTAGCTCACATGGAAAGGCTGCACAGAGAGAGTGGGAGCAAGAGACAAACCCAATCAATAATCCTCAACTGTTGCAGACATCTTAGCCCAGGCATCACACAAAAAAAGGAAAAACCTTCTCACTACAAGTTGGGAGAGGTCCCAAGCAAAACCAGCTAGGTGGGCCCAGCCAACTACAAGAACCTTGAGAAATAATAATGAGTTGTGTTAAGCAACAAAAAAAGATTGTGATTTCCTTTAAGCAAGTATTATTCATTGTGTGTTTTGTCTTTCCCAAGATCTAGATTCCTACATTATGCAGCGATCACTGTTAACAGGTAGACTACTTTCTCACTTTATGTCTTTACTACACTAACATAGCAATATACCATGTCAGTAAGTCTCTGTAAAAATACATGAATCTTGAAGCACTTGATTGTTTCTCCATGAATTTTCATAAATGGGCTCTCTTCTTCCAAATGTGTATAGAGTGGTAATCATATATCTATACAGATAGTGATTATTTATTGAGGGCATGTGGTATGTCAACACTATGTCCAATTTATCCATAAATCATAAGGACAAAAATACCAGCAAAATATCACAATAAAATAGACATTATTTGGTTGTTTTCATATTTATTTTGTGTCCCAAAGAGAGATCTGTGATTTCACAGAAAATGGGAGTAAAAATTCTCATAGAAATTTGGCCTCAGCAGTAGTTACACTTAAATGTGTATTTAGTCTTGAGTCCCCAGATATTAAAGCAAAAACAATCAAATAAATAAGAAAGATTCTATTTACTCATGATCTGAAAAAAGGATGCCTATAAGCTATTTTGAAAAGACAAACAGTTTTTGGCACTAAATTCTGCAAGCACAACCTAACACAAATTATTTTATTATGGTTCCTGATTAATAATGAATGATTCCTTCAAAGGAACTTTTCAAGAAGATTCAAAACTTCCTTCATGAGGACATTTCTTATAGTGATCCTAAGGAAAAATAAGGATGTAATGTTAAATTTTAATTCAGCGAAAGTATTTTACTATGTCTGATGTGATACAGGCAAAAGGGTTATGATCAGCAGGAGCTGGTGGTGAGCTGCCTTTCTGGAGAAGCAGAGAGAATTAATCTTTTTCAGTCCCTGTAGTGAAGTAAAAACAAAATGAGTTGAACACTGAGATAATGAAATATAGAGAAGATGACGACAGCTGTATAAGAGAGAAACCAGAGCTGGAACCAAGAAACGATCACCTGAAATCAGTAACTAGAAAACCAGGTTGAGCTGATGACAGAAAGAGGTACAAGAGAAGCAGACTCCAAATGTCATTGAGTGTACAAAACCCCCAGTCTAAAGCAATTTTTTATAGGATTGGACTAGTGATTCTGATGCTCTAAAGGTGTTCTCTGGCTCCTGATAAATTGATGGGAAGAGAAATAAACACTACCTAGATTTTTTCTTCTCTTTCTGTGCAAATTGATGCAATATAAACCAGAGAAATCCTGAAGGAATAATGATTAGCACTCTTTGTAGCAGATTGTAATTATTTTGAGGTTTTTTTTTTTCACATGAGTTGAAGACAAGGTATTCTAGACTAAGCTGTGACAGGAATCTTCAGTTCAAATTATTGGCACATCGTTAAGGTAGCATCCATTTACTTTACATATTGGTGGTCCAGATGATGAAACTAATATTCTGAGTCTTAGGTCTCCCTGTATAAAAGATAATCATGACTTCCCTCAGAGCTGGAAACAGGTATATAGGATTTATATATAGGTATGTAGGCTGAGCATAGTGGCTCAACCCTGAAATCTTAACACTTTGGAAGGCTGAGGTGGGACAATTGCTTGAGGCACGTTTGAAACCAGCTTGTACAACACAGTCCCATTTTTATAAAAACTAAAAAAATTAGTTGGGTGTAGTATTAGGCATCTGTAAGTCCCAGCTACTGGGGAGGCTGAGGTGGGAAGAACACTTGAGCCCACGAGTTCGAGGTTGCAGTGAACTATGATCATGCCACTGCCCTCAGGCCTGCGAAAGAGAGCAAAACCATATTTCTAATCTATCTATTTATCTATCTATCTATCTATCTATCTATCTATCTATCTATCTATCATCTATCTATCATCTATCTTTCTATCATCTATTATCTATCTATTTATCTGTCTAATCTATATATATATATATACCCATATAGAGATATATCAGTGTGTACTAATTTCTCAGTTGTGTTATCTTGAACAGAAATATCATCACAGAGTTTATTCAACTATATGAATTTAGCCTCCCATTAATTTACAGAAATAATTTCAGCATTTGTTGCTGCAACAAATCCAGGAAAGATCCTTAATGAAACCCAGTCCTACAAAAACTGATAGTATTGTGTTATATATAGATCTGACGTTGGCAAGCATTTTCTGTAAAGGGCCAGATAATAAATATTTTAGGCTTTGAGGCCAGAAGGTGTCATTGCAATTATTTGACTCCACCATTGTGTGTGTATGAAAGCAGCCATAAATAATACATAAACAAAAGAATGTGGCTTTGTTCCAATAAAACTTTATTTACAAAAACAGGCAGTGGGCAGTATTTGGCCCTAAGGGTAGTTGGCCAACCCCTGGTGAAGAAGCACTACATAAACACAAACAAGTATATAATATACCTTGAAACCATATATATGCAATATATAATTATATATTTTCTACCTTTTATATAACTTATTGACAGCATTGGTATAATATTCGGCTGGTCTTTGTAATAGTACTCTGATACTTACCAATAAAAATATTATAATAAAAAATAAATAAATGAGAATTTAGTTAGATGTTATGTATTAATTACTGTATAGGTGTTATTGCAAAAGATTTCTAAATTTCCTCCTTTGTAGACACAAGTTTAATTCACACTATAAATAATTGAGTTGCATGAGTTAGATTTTAAGTGTAAGATACTGAGATTATATTTTAAGAGGAAGATGCTAAGATAAGTTGAATTTTAAAAAGTAAAATTCTGAGATTATACTTATGCGTGTAGGTGGTAAATGATTCTTTGCCTTTTGATCTATGTATATTTGTAGATGCCATACACAAAGATAGAGTTAAGACTTCAAAAATGTTTCTTGCTCTTGTTACCAATAGATGACAGGCTTCTTTTCTTAACAGGAAAAGATTTTTCATCATTCATGGTGTGCTTTTGAAACTCTATTCAGCATAGGTAATTAAAGGGCCAGATTCATGTTTCGTTTGGTAAATTTCTGGCTTTTAGCACTGCCATTTTTCTTATGTTGGCATTTTAAAATTAAAGATCCAGATGATGCTTAAAGAGGGGTAAATTTCTTTCTATTTTTCTTGAAATTAAAAATACACATTTATTAGTTTCTAAAAATTATTTTATAATAACTGATTTCCACTAGTGTTCATTCAAAAAACTTGTAACACCAATATTAATACTGAAGTGTAAACAATGCAAATGCCATTTTTCATGATTTAATATTTCATTTAAAAAGAAAGCAAACAAAAATATCCCCAGTTTCCGTTTTCCTAGATTTTACTTGGTAGTTCTTCGTCACCCATTTTTGACCTGTGGAAGTAACACAGTGTAGCAGAGGGAAGATAGGCTTGGCAGTAACAGAAGCTTGAATTGATATCCCATCTCTCAGCTCAGTTGTGCATAAGTTATATAAACTCTGTGCACCCCAGTTTTCTTAAGTCACTGGAGATCAATGATGCCTGGCACACACTTATTATGAGGAAAAATAAAATAACTTATGTATTAGTTCATTCTCATACTGCTATAAAGATACTACTTGAAACTGGGTAATTTATAAAGGAAAGAGGTTGAATTGATTCACAGTTTTACATGGCTGGGGAGGCCTCAGGAAACTTACAATTATGGCAGAAGGCGAAGGAGGAGCAAGTACCTTCTTCACAAGGCAGCAGGAAAGAGAAAGAGCAGGAGGAAATGCCAAATACTTATAAAATCATAAAACTCATAAGAACACACTATCATGAGAACAGCATGGGGGAACCACCCACATGTTCCAGTCGCCTCCCACCAGGTCACTCCCTCCACATATGGGGATTACAATTTGAGATGAGACTTTGGTAGGGACACAGAGCCAAACCATATTGATGTATTGCAGAGCGTAAGTACAGTTCATATCTCTTCTCTTGGTTTTAAGAGGTAATGTCCACTGGGTATGTTATTTCAGTCCATAATCACCTGTAATCCCAACACTTTGGGAGGTCGAGATGGGTAGATCACTATAGGTCAGGAGTTGGAGACCAGCCTGGCCAACATGGTGAAACCCCGTCTCTACTAAAAATACAAAAATTAGCCGGGCGTGATGGTGGGTACTATAATCCCAGCTACAGGGGAGGCTGAGGCAGGAGATTCACCTGAACCCAGTAGGTGGAGGTTGTAGTGAGCTGAGATCACGCTACTGCACTCTAGCCTGGGTGACAGAGTGAGACTCCATCTCAAAAAGAAAAAAAAAGAGGTAATATCTATCAGATTCTGGAAACCATTTTTTTATTTAGGACAAATACCATTCTTTAAACATGTAGGTGGTGGTGAAGAGAAAGTCACCCAAGTAAAGGAAACAAAGTGAGAAGGATGAAAGGATGAAAAAGAAAGCTTTAAAACTGATTGCTTCCTGGAGAGGAAGAGCACCCATTACTCTGATGGTTTTTATTCCTTCAGCTACAGCCCAAGAAAGAACTAAATGTTAGAAGAGGATGATTACTGATTATTTAAAGGGCAATTGTAATGAGCTGAGATAGAATGATCACATTTCACAGCTTGATAAACCTTTTTCTTTTAAACAAAGAAAACATTTTCATTAAGTAGTATACAAAATTATTCAGGTTGGACTTGGCCATGATGTCTAGGATGAGCTAGGTGGAAAATTCTGCTTGAACGCAACGTATTGCTTGTATTTGCTGAAGCATAGAAGAAGAGAAATTGAAAGTTGTACGCATAAAAAAGGAAAAGATCATTTTATAAAAAAAACTTTGGCATGATATATCCTTAACAGGTGGAGCTTTCGAGAACATCAGCTGAGCTGCTTCTCAAATTTACGGCAGAAATTAAAGTCAAAGAAGGGAATTTTTCATCTGCAGAGTTCCTAATTAACAGGAATAGCAAGATTTTCTTTGTAAATTGATTTTTGAGTTCTTCATCTGAAGTGTGAAAGAACCCACAGTATTGTTTTCCTAGTAAACATTTTTTTGTTTGACTGTTCTGTTTCTTTTTTCTTCAGAGATAATAAAACCCCTTAACATTACCAGACTTTAATGATGAGGCTTTTTGATGACAAAGAGTGATTTCTTACAAAAAGAGTTTGGAGGATCCAGAAATGTTGCACTATCCCTCTCAGTCAGGTGCAATTATGTTCCCCAGTGATTTTTTCATCCTGGTTATCTATTTATCTAATGTCAAGCTATCACATCAGGACACCCTGTGGCAGGTTTAGCTGGTGAAGTGACTGTGTGAGTCCCACCCGTAGTGGCCATTGCTCACTCACTTTCTCTCCAGGTGACTAAAATCAGGTTTCATGATGATTACCCTGCTTATTCTTCCTGGAAAATTTTGCCAGAGTTTCTATTGCCTGCTAGATTCATGAAGCCCACTCAACAAGTTTCCTCAGGAATGTACCCTCCTATTGATCATGTGCTGAAAGTAAGAATATTTCTGTGAGTAGATGTATGTGAGTGTGTGCAAAGCAGAGATGGAGAAAGAGCAGGGCTTTCTTGTTGAAATAAAACATAATTTATTAATAGGAGCAGGCAGTTTTTGCTTCTGCTTGGCACTGTGCATAAAAAAGAGTCTTGTGTCTCCGTTTTCTTAGGGACTCAGTTCCAGTGATTTTCGTGTGTGTGTGTGTGTTTGTACATGCATGCATGTGTGCATCGGGGGAAAGGATTTGGGAGCATGGGGAGATCTAAGAGAATTCCTGCAGGCAAATTGACCAGCACAGCAAAACAAGAAAAAATTGGGATTAAACATAATTCTTTTCCCTTCAAAATATGAGGCATTCATAGGACAAAAACCACTTCCATAAGCAAGCCTTTGTTTGAATTTTCATAGTAATGCAAAAGTCTGAATGGGGCTTCAAGCTACTCTATATAAAGAATGGAGCGGCTCTGGGACAGGGCTATGGTTCCAGGCAGGAGCTGGGAGGAGATGGTAAGAGTTATTGGTTACAATTACCTGGGCTTTCTCTTGGTCTCTGGGTTTCTGGCTGGAATCCCTCATTGGCACCAAACTCACATTCTTACACAACGTTAATTTCTGCATGGATTAAAAGGCTGTTTAGTTTTTTTTTTTTTTTTTTTTTTTTTTTTTGCTGGATCAAATCACACTATGAGTCTAAGGTCCGAACTTTAACATTCCATATTTTCAGTTTAATTAGGTCCATATTTTAGGAAATGTTTTTCTGCCAACATCTACAGTAAAACACTCTTGTCAGGCAGGAGCTAATAATCTTCAGTGCTCTCTGGACTGGTCCATAATTAATTTTAAGAACAAAAGTAGGTTTATTAAAATTACTTATGTTGGATCCTGTTGTTGGGACTAGGGGACAAAATAAATAATTTCCAGGATTACTTTGCCACCTACTGTCCAGAGGTTAGCATGGAGTGTGATTAAAATACCTTTTTGGCCCACCTCAAGCTGTTTAAAATACCCCCCAGACCCCCTACTCAGTAATTTGTTACCAGCAGAAAGTCTGGCTTGAGCAGCTGTGAATTCCTAGGAGATAGAGGTTTCATGGGCACATTTTTACACGTTTCATTACCTGCAGGAAAGAAATAATTTTCCTCTTCAAAAGCAGACAATCGTTTCTGGGCTTGATTCTCCAATAATGAAGGTGAAGTGTATCTGTGTGTGTGTGTGTGTGTGTGTGTGTGTGTGTAGGACTGACAGCAATGAGGAGGCTTAATGTGTGTTTGCTTTTGGATGGAGGGATTGATACTTGGAAACACTTTGCCAGGAGCATTTAATGATTGCCAATGAAATAAAGATAGTGAAGGGAATTAGCCTCCATGCTTCATGTGCAGTTCCTATCATTAGTCTAACTTCAACTAAGTAGCGTGCTAGGCCCCTAGAGGACTAGCTTTGTGTTTCTCCCATAAAACATCGATGTGGAAAAGATGTTGCACAGTAAAGAACACCACAGAGGGCTCTTGAGTGCCATAGGAAGCTTTCTAGATGGGAATAAAAGGGGATGTGAAAATGCACAATGCCACAGTCATTCCAACCAGTCTCCTTAACTAGCATAAATGTTAAATCATATAGAAACAACCAGGAATGTTTTCAGTAAAGATGGCTTCACTGAAGCAATGCACAAAGATGACAAGAGAGGAGAGACCTTTGGGTAGGTACCTTCTTGTGAGGAGAAATAATAACAGAGGGCATGGGCTCTGGAGTGCTTGCTTGGGTCTTTGACTAAAACTATAAACAACCACCACAACTGCAAAACAAACATACTGATCCAGGCAAGCTCACATCATTTCTTCTAATCCATTGACTTAAACTTCTCCACCTAATTTCCCTCTAAGACACTGACTTAAATACATGTTTTACCAACCTTTTGGGTCAGTAATGGTCATTGATAGTGAGGAACAAAAGCCTCAGATTCGATCAAAACAAATCCTGTATCTTTATTAGTCACATAATTTGAAGACATAACGTCTGAATTGTAGTAAGGAACTCACCCTTTCATCTAGGAATAAGGGTAAAGATATTTTCATTTAGAAAAAGAAATATTGCAAGTAATTAAATCACATGCCTACATTGCAATGCCATGACAGAGCCCTAACTCTGCCCCTCACTTAGTTTCCAGCCTGACTCAGTGACTGGTTCACTCACTGCTCTCTTAACCCACTTCATGCACTTCTGTTGCTGTAACTCTTCATGTTGCACCTTTCTGTTACCTTCTAGGTCTCCAAATCTCAACCACCCTTCAGCATTCAATTTCTAACCTGGTCCCTTGATAATGTCCAGCTTCACAGCAGTATCCGTGGTCAGTTTTTGTTCTTACTATTCATTTGGCATGTATTATTTGCTTTTCTTTTAAAAGTTTTTATTTTGAAATGATTTTAGATTTACAGAAGTATTACAAAGATAGTATAGGGAATTCCTGTATATCTTTTATCCAGCTTCCCCTAAGGTTAATATCTTATATCACTATGGTATAGTTATCCAAATTAAGAAATTATCATCAGTACAACTACACTACAGAGTTTATTTGGTTTTCTTTAGTTTTTCAAATATGACCTTTTTCTGCTCCAGAATTCAATACAGAATACCACTTTGCATTTAGTCATCATGCCACCTTAGTTTCCTGCAATATCTGACAGTTTTTTACGTGTATGTGTGTGTATGATTTTGACACTTTGAGGAGTACTGGAAAAATATTCTGTACAATGTCCCTCAGTTTGAATTTACCTTAGGTTTTCTCATGATTAGATGAAGGTTCTGAATTTTTTGGGAAACTAATGGAAAGATGAAATGCCCCCATCATAACATCTGATATAGTTAGGCTCCATGTCCCCACCCAAATGTCCTCTTGAATTATAATCCCTATAATCTCTCCATAATCCCCACCTGTCAAGGGAGAGACCGGGTGGAGGTAATTGGATCATGGGGGCAGTTTCCCTCAATGCTGTTCTCGTGATAGTGAGTAAGTTCTTACAAGATCTGATGGTTTTACAAGTGTCTGGCAATTCCTCGGCTTGCTTTCCTCTCCTGCTGCCATGTGAAGAAGGTGCTTATTTCTCCTCCACCTTCCACCATGACTGTAAGTTTCCCGAGGCTTCCTTAGCCATGTGGAACTGTGACTCAATTAAACCTGTTTCCTTTATAAATTACCCAGTCTCAGGAAGTTCTTTATAGCAGTGTGTAAACAGACTAACACATCATACTAGAAGGTACATGATGTCATCATGGCTTATTATTGATGATGCCAACATTAAACACTTGTTAAGTTAGTGTCTACCAGGTTTCTCTACTAAGTTATTATTTTTTCCTTGTCATATTTTATTCATTAGAAATTTGTCACTAAGTCCAGCCTACATTACAGAGAAGAGAAATTAAGGTGTGCTTCCTGCAGAAAGGTGTACCAAAGAATTTGTGGACATATGTTAAGAATCACGATGGAAATTAATTAATAAGTGTTGTGGGAGAGATTACTTTGAGGCTATTCAAACTTTCATTTTCTCCTTAACATTTTGCTCATTAATTTTAACATCTATCTGTGGATCTTGCAAGAAGTAATTATTTCTATGATGGTCTAATAATGGTTTTTTTATTTCCTTCATTCATCCTATGTTTATCATTGTAATCCTAAAGATTTTTCCATTAAAATATTTGCCACGTTTTCTATTTATTTATACCACAATGTCATGAATCTTTATTTTATTATTAGTGTTATAATTCAATATTTCTTTTATTTATTTTGTTCCAGTATTGTCCTTTGGGAGCTCTTATGTCTTTTTGATATGCACCCAGTTTTTAAAGCACTTTAAAAATTTCTGGCACTTGAAGATGCTCCAGAATTATCTCATATTTTCCTGGACCCTACCCTAAAGTCAGCTATTTCTTCTTCTTCTTCTTTTTTTTTTTTTTTTTGAGACGGAGTCTCGCTCTGTCGCCCAGGCTGGAGTGCAGTGGTGCGATCTCAGCTCACTGAAAGCTCCGCCTCCCGGGTTCACGCCATTCTCCTGCCTCAGCCTCCTGAGTAGCTGGGACTACAGGCGTCCGCCACTGCACCTGGCTAATTTTTTGTATTTTTAGTAGAGCCGGGGTTTCACTGTGGTCTTGATCTCCTGACCTCGTGATCCGCCCGCCTCCGCCTCCCAAAGTGCTGGGATTACAGGTGTGAGCCACCACGCCCGGCCCGAGTCAGCTATTTCTACAAGGATCCTTGGTTCCTATTATTGGAGAATGGCATTTAGAGGTTCAGATGATGTTTATTAAAGGATGAGGGAAGGGAGGAGCATAATGGCACAGTTGTTCCTTCCTACTTTTATTTTAGGTTTGGGGATACATGTAAACACTTGTTACATGAGTCGATTGTGTGTCACTGATGCTTGATGTAAAACTAATCCTGTTACCAAGATATTGAGCATAGTGCCCCATATGTAGCCTTCCAACCCATGTTCCCTTCCCACCCTCCCACCTCAAGCAGTCCCCAGTGTCTATTTTTCCCATCTTTGTGTTTGTGTGTATTCAGTGTTTAGCTCCCACTTATAAGTGAGAACATGTGATATTTGGCTTTCTGTTTCTGCATTAGTTCTACAATGAGGCCAGTGATAACTGCCTTCAGCTCCATCCATGTTGCTGCAAAGGACAGGATTTTATTCATTTTTATGGCTGCATAATATTCTATGGTGTATATATACCACATTTTCTTATCTAGTCTACTCCTGATAGGCATTTTGGTTAATTCCATATGTTTGCTATTGTGTATAGTGCTATCATGAATGTATGTATGCATGTGTCTTTTTGGTAGAATGATTTATTTTCTTTGGATAGATACCCAATATTGGGATTGCTGCATCAAATGTAGTTCTGTTTTAAGTTCTTTGAGAATTCTCCACACAGCTTTCCACAGTGATTAATTTACATTCCCACTAAGAGTATATAACTGTCCCCTTTTCTACACAGATTTGCTAGCATTTGTTGCTTTTTGACTTTTTAATAGTAGCCATTCTGACTAGTGTAAGATAGTTATCTCATGGTGGTTTTGATTTGTATTTCTCTAATGATTCATGATGATGAGCAATTTTTCATGAATTTGTTGTCTGCATATGTGTCTTCTTTTGAGAAGTGCCTGTTCATGTCCTTTGCCCATTTTTAATGAGGTAATTTGTTTAATGCTTGCTATTTGTTTAAGGTCCTTTTAGATTCTGGATATTAGACCTTTGTTAGATGCATAGTTTGTAAATATTTTCCCACATCTATAGGTTGTCTGTTTATTTTGATGATAGTTTCTTTTGCTGTGCAGAAGGTCTTTCATTGGTCACACTCATCAATTTTTGTCTTTCTTGCAATTGCTTTTGATGACTTGCAGAGTCATATATTCTTTGTCAAGGCTAACATCCAGAATGATTATTTCCTAGGTTTTCTTCTAGGATTCTTATTGATTTAGGTCTTTCATTTAAGTCTCTAATCCATCTCAAGTTAATTATTGTATATAGTGAAAGAAAGGGGTCCACCTTTCAATCTTCTGCATATGGCTAGCCAGTTATCCCAGCACCATTGATTGAATAGGGAATCCTTTCCTCATTGTTAGTTATTATTGACTTTGTTGAAGATAAGATGATTTGTAGGCATGTGGCTTTATTTCTGGGTTCTCTGTTTTGTTCCATTGGTCTATGTGTCTGTTTTTATAGTGGTACCATGCTGTTTTGGTTACTGTAGCCTTATAGGATAATTTGAAGTTTGGGTAGTATGATGCCTCTGGGTTTGTTCTTTTTGCTTAGGATTGCTTTAGCAATTCAGGCTCTTTTTTGGTTCCATATAAATTTTAGAATAGTTTTTTGTAGGTATGTAAAAAATGACTTTCATAGTTCGATAGTAATGACATTGAATCTATAAATTGCTTTGGGCAGTATGGCCATTTTAACAATATTGATTCTTGCTATCCATGAACATGGAATTTTTTTTGTTTGTTTGTGTCATCTCTGAATTCTTTCAAGAGTGTTTTGTAATTCTTATTGTAGAGATCTTTCGTCTCCTTGGTGAGCTCTATTCCTAGGTATTTTATTCTTTTTGTGGCTATTATAAATGGGATTGCCATTTTGATTCGGCTCTGAGCTTGGATGTTATTGTTGTACAGAAATGCTACTAATTTTGTACATTGATTTTGTATCCCAAAACTTTACTGAAATCATTTATCACTTCTAGAAGCCTTTTGATGGAGTCTATGGGGTTTTCTAGATGCAGAATTATATCATCTGTGAAAAGCGATAGTTCAACTTATATTTAGAAATCAAGATATGATGTTAGTGGTACTTACTGCTACTGCGCTGTCACTGCTTTTAGGCCATCTCAGTGCACAGAACTGCGAAATATATCTGTATGAATACTACCCCATGTATACAAACATCTATCTAT
This sequence comes from Homo sapiens, assembly GCF_000001405.40. Taxonomy (NCBI): domain Eukaryota; kingdom Metazoa; phylum Chordata; class Mammalia; order Primates; family Hominidae; genus Homo; species Homo sapiens. The sequence continues at coordinate 35,155,983 of NC_000008.11, read as the reverse complement.
CTCTATCTAAATAAATAAATAAAATGAATTTATACTACATCTCTTACTCTAATCCACCTTCCATTTGATTATTTATAGCTTCTTTTGCTGACAGTGAGAAATTTGGCTCCCCCATTACTTACAATTCATTTACTTGTTTGTTAAATTCTAAACATGTAATTTCAGAATTGTTAGGCTGTACCCCTGAAAGACACAAATTCCCACTACAGTGTAGTGCTTGCATACAGATCTTTTTTCTTGTCTTTAAGTCCTGTATTTTCCAGTCAATACACTGTTTACCAAAGTTACTTAAGCCAGCTCATTTTTTTGTCCCACTCCTTTCAGTGAGGTTTTCTCACCTAATCCTAATATAGTTAATTTCATTTATCAGAGTCTGTATTCCATCTAGGATTGCCCTACTGTTTTTATTTATTCATTTGTTTTAATTTGCATGTAGTGACTTTCAGTTTTTATGGCGTATAGTTCTATGGTTTTGATGGGTGCATAGAGTCATTTATATGCCTCTGCAGTACATACAGAATTGTTCTATCACCCTATAAATTCCCTATGTGCTTCCATGTGGTCAGCCTCTACCCTCCTCAAATCTCTCTAACAAATGCTCATTTGTTTTCTGCTTCCATGGTTTTGCTTCCTCAAGACTGTTACTTAAGTGAACTACACCATGTACAGTTTTTTGGATCTAAATTTCCTTTGTTAGAAAAATGAATTCATGTTTCATCAATAGCTCATTCCTTTTTATTGCTGAGTAATATTCCATTGCATGGATGTACGAGAGTTTGCTTATCTGTCTACCTACTGGAAGATATCTCGGTTGTTTCCAGTTTTGGGTAATTATGAATAAAGCTTATGTACAGGTTCTTTTGTGGACATAAGTTTTCAATTCACTGGCCAAATACCCAGAAGTGAGAGAGCTGAGTTTCACTGCTGAGTAATACAGTGTTTGTTTTATTTCATAGGAAACTGGTAAACTAGTTTCAAAACTGTCCGTACCACTTTGCATTCCCACTACCAGTGAATGAGGATTAATTAACTTTCTATGTGGCATCCATATGTAATGCCACAATGTTTGGTATAGTGTTTAATGTATTTATTTATCATCATTTCTTGTTGAATCCCTATGATGTATCAAGTACCATTCCAATGTTCTTTGTAAAATTTCATTCAGTTGGAGGGGAGAGAAAATAAACATGATACAATTAAATACTTTTAGAAGGTGATGAGTGCTATTAAGAATATTCTTCTGTGATTGAGATGAATCACTTTGAAGAATTACAGCCTTTATAACCACTACCTTAAAATTTAATTTGCCCCACTGACTAAGAACTTAATAAAAATTCATGAGACCAATGAATGTGTCATAGGTTTTCTGAAATGATGCTTTGACAATGTATTGTTCAGAGAAAATTCAATAAACGATAGTCTTTCACTGGATCTCTGATTCTAAAATCTCTTGCCTGCACAGCAAGTGAACAAGAATATCTCGGAGTGAGCCCAAGCATCTTTGTGTTTTATTTTCCTTTAAATCTAATGTGTAGAATAAGGAGTAGGGAAACAAAGGGAGAGAACTAGAGATCAGAAATATAATTTGTCAATGGCTATCTAAGGTAGACCCTGCATTGACTGAAAGGTGACTTTTAGAAAATGTCTGCATTATCAAGAGAAAAAAAATTTAATTGGGTTTCAAATATTCCTTGTCTTTAGAAATGGAAGATAATCTTTTTTTTTTTTTTTTAAAAAAAAGAAAACTATGAGTTAGTTTAAAAGACATTATTTGGAGAAACATAGAGTAGCATGCATGGAAACAGGACTGAACTGAATAAACATTCAGCTGTAGGAGGTTTAGGAATTGATTTTCACAATATTGAATTTATGGTTCAATAATTTTCCATTGGGATGGAGGTCATGGTTTTGGAGCAATTTCCCCGATACTATCACATTTCTCTTATGTGAAAATGCATTATTTACCTAACATAGGAAAAGGCAGACTTCCTGAAACTAGATATTTTAAAATATTAATCATGGAACCTTGCAACAGGGTTGGCAAACTCAGTTCAGTGTTCACTGAATCTAAAACCTAAGCTGGGAACCATCGTAGGTTTCTGGGCGTTCTTAAGGTATTCCATTAACCAAGGTTCCATGATTAATATTTTAAAATATCTAGTTTCAGGAAGTCTGCCTTTTCCTATGTTACGTTTCTGAGGAGATGACTCTTTTAGAAAGGCTGAGCTTGGCAGGAATAAACAAGCTCCACTGGTGATGAAACTAGAGTTGAGGCCAACTGAGTTCTAATAACTTTCATGTGGGCCATTGCTCTTGATATTTACCTGGCACTTTGCTTACTATTGTTCTGCCCAGGCCTTCCATGCTTGTGAAGTTAACATTTGCCTAACCCCATTAAATTATGGAGAAAGTATATGGCTGGCTTTTGGATAGTTAAGTTTAGTTTATCTACCTAAACTTAGATAGTTCAGTAGCTTCTTGAGGAAGTGAATGATTTCAGGGAAAGTTACATTGGGTGTCATTGGAAATTTATGTCTTGCCAGAATTATAAGCAAAAATATTCAGTACCAATTTTGGAAGGCTTTAGGTCATTTTTGTATGGCAGAAACAATTCAGAGATGTCTTGCAGGCTTGGAAGTTTGTACAGGTCCATGTTATTTTCCCCATGGAATCATAATTCCAGGAAACTGAGCTCCAATATCACTCACTGGCTAATAAGCCCCATAATTGGAGAAGAGAAATAGACAACTATAGGTAAGGCAGGACAGTTGGCTTTATTTAGCATTTCTTTCCTCACAGCTTCTTTTTAGTTGATCAACAACTCATTTCAGATGAATTGAAGTAATGTTCAACTCCTTGCTGTTCTTTTAAGCTGGCTTTATCTTTATGCACACAATTTCAATAAAATGACTACACTTCTCCTGTCAAGATATGAAAAGATATATAGTAAAACACATGGGCACATTTTTGTAGGAAAGATAGATACATTCATATACATGTATGTGTCTATGTATGTACGTGTGTGTGTACGTGCTTTGATCTGGTTTTGATTTTTTTCCTTCCCTCTGTTGGATAGAATACTGAAGTCAGAGCTTCTGTTCTTGCCTAGGGTCCATGGCATCATTAAATAGTATTGTTCTCAAAGCCCAGAAGAACTATGCCTGGTAAGCAGGGAAAATAAATGAAGTTTTGTTTGTCATATGTTAAAACAGACCACAACAATGCTCTAACAGTAGGACTTGCTGAAGAAATTGTACTGTAATGAATATTTGTAAAATATTTTAATGAAGTCAATTATAGTTAAGTTCATTTAAGGAAAAGAACTCAAAAATGATTAAAGAAAAGTCTAGGTTTATTTAAGTGAAGGTCAAGATTTGGATCTTGGGCAAATACATACTCTTTTAATTTGTGGATGAATCCCCTACGTAGTGAATAAATATCACTTTTGGTGACAGAATTAAGGCTGGTTTCTCTGATAGCTGTCAGGATATGCCAGAGTGCATGCATGTCTCAGCGGCTATCTGTTGAACATAGTCCTGTAGGCGCTGTACATGTATATGCATTGATCTGCTTTGCAGCAGCTCCACCTATCGGTAACAAGCGGCAGAGGACGGACCAATGCAAACTGGCTTCAAGGCAGATTTCAAAAAGTTTGTTTGTATTGTTCATCACTGCTAGAAAACAGTGGGACAGGTGATCATCGTCTCTTGAACCTCACACTGCAAGCTCCCCAGGTCCAGCTGAGGAAGTTGTCATCGTGTGTTAGTTTAGCGCAGGCTCTGGGAATTAACTCCATTATATGCAAAAGGACAATGAGAGGATTTTGCAGGCTAAATGAACAGAAATGCTGCCTGGGGATTCCCAGTTTCATGTTGCTAACAAATATTAACAAAGATTTTCACCCTTGGGAAACCCTATCAGTAGCCTTCTCTTTTTTCTCTCTGTCAGGTGTTTGCAGGGAAGGAAGTTTGGACCTCCTTAAAGGTACTGAGCTTTCAGCATTCAAATAAAGAGTTCTATTCTGTAGCAGTCTTTCTGGCTTAGGAATTTCAGAGGGCTTGATGAGCAGGTTGCACACTGACATTCCACAGCAGAAAACTGTCCACCCACCACGTCTTAGGCAGGGTGATACAGTTGTATAGATGGTTTCTTTAGTGGATGCTTGACAAGGCATTATGGCAGTGTTGACATTGGAATGGAGCTGCTTTGCAGAAAATTCAGAAAAACACATTGACTACCAATCTTTCCTTAACTTTTCATTCCAAATGTAACTGGAGTCTCTTGTGATTTTTTTTTTTTTTTTTTTTTTTTGGTGGCAGGTGAGAAAAGAAAGAGAGATAATTAACAATATTTGTGTTCTAATTTTCTTATGGATAGTTTTAATTCTACCTGCTCCTCCTAATTACCTGCCTACTTCCTCCTCCCCCAGCCCAGCCCAAACTCAAAGTGAGTGGAGAAGGAAAGGCTATGGGTCATTTTGGTATTCCACGCAGCCTACAGTCAAAGTTGATGGTGAGAAGCAGAGAGACTACTTTTGCTTCTCCTTAACATGCTCTCCCACCCCAAGTTGCTACAGGCTTACTGACACTATTTAACCACGGTTCTCACCATCATTTATTTATTCATAGTTAAACAGCCTCAAGGATCCCATGGAAGCCCCTCACTTACTTTCAGTTCTTCTTCATTGAAATCAGATATGAATCTAAAAACCTGAGACAAATAGACAGGCATGAAGGAAGCAACTTTCTTCCTTCCAGTATGTATAGTAAACACAAACAGCAAAATGGGTAAAATAATAGCAGACTACACCAGGGCACGGAGTAGCAAAAATTGTGAGTTAAAAATCAGACTTGACATTTAAACTCCATTATTATTAATGCAGCATGAATCTTTTCTTGTCTTTTTTGTTATTTCTCAGAACCAATTCTAGAACCATGTATGCTTAATCATTCAAATCCTGAGCAAAATAATATGAATCACAAGATGATTTCCCTTAGTATCGTCCCACCAAACAATTCCTGTTCAATCAAAATACATCAAGTGTAGCTTGCTGGACTTAAGTGCCTTGATCACCATTGCAAAAGTAAAAAACAAAAAACAAAAAACAGCAAAGGCTGAACATATAACAGAGAGCGAAATTAGCCAAACTAAGCAAAAGAAATGACACCCCTCCCCCAAATAACACTAACATGAATATTTCACCGTATGTTCTAAAGTTTAAAACAAAGCAAAAATGAATTATTATTTGAATATTTGAATAATACATGAAGCAGACCACTAATTTCTGAAGGAGATTTTGTACTCAAAGAGTTTAAACTCTACTGAGGAAATAAGATATCTGTAATATTGAAATTAAATGAAAGAAGAATGTATAGTAGTAGTAGGTGGTAATACAGAATATATATGAGACAGAGATTAATTAGCAAATGAGTGATACACCATGCTATATGAGTTTATAAGAAGGAGTGGACGATGATTGTCTGGAAAAGCATAGAAAGATTATTTTGGCTTTGAAAGATACAATAGAAACAATTATATGGTAAAATGATGACCCTTTCCTAATTCTTAATTGAACTCTCCAGAGGTATTTTACTTTGATCTCTTACGCATTTTCTAGGGTAAGTGGTTTATGCATCTTAATTCAAGAACAGCCTAAAATATATCATAAAATATGAAAAAAGGTAAAAGGCAGCTTTGAACTCCAACCTCTTCAAAGAGTTGAAATAAATGAACAACTGTACAAAAAACAGCAACAAATCTTTGATGAGTTGGAATATACAGAGAGAAACCATGAGACTCTGTTTTGAAAGCACAGATTATACCATGAGCCATTTTCATAAACACCAGTGCCAAGCAACATGTTTCATATGGAAATCATGTTTGACATTGCTTTTGTACATTCATTCATTTCCTCAATCATTTCCTGAATGTTTATTGTGTCCTTCTTTTAAGGATAAAGCCTGGTCTAAAGAACTAGAGAATAAACACTGGAAAAAGACATTGCTACTTGGCTTAAGAATCTCTCAAAATAATGGGAAGACAAGCATGTTCAGAACTAAGTTTAACCATATGGCCAGAGTGTTACAAGTACAATGGATAGAAGAATCAATTTTGACCTTGGAATTACAGAACATACTGTAGAGGACATCTATGACTCTGGGGCTTGAAATATAAGTAGAATTTTTACAGCAGATAAAAAAATCATAATTCTTTATAATTATAAACTTATAAATAGAAAAAATAAAGTGATGGAGAAATAAAAGTGAATAGCTTGAGTAAAAAGCTAATTGTTTGGGAGTACCAAAAATATGGAGAAGACAATCGCCATAGAACCTTGAAGGCTGTGTTAGAGAATTTTGACTTTACCCTTACAGTATTGACTTTACTCTTAGAGAATTTGGACTTTATCCTTCCAGGTACACGTATACACATATATGTATGTATATCTTATATGTATGTTACATATATACATGTCATATATGAGAGAGTTATATATAATACAAATATCTATCATATATATTCACATATCAGTTTAGATCATCCAATTGTTGCTTGAGTCTTACTGATCATACAAAAAGAACATAGCTGGGCATAAGCCATTTAGAAAGCAAAAATAGAACGTTATGTATTTATTCACTAAACAGTCATAGAATTATTGCCAGTCAGACTCTGTTCTCGATGCAGGGAGTATTTAATGGCAAAAAATTTACTGAAATTGAGAGGGAAAATAAAACAGGAAAAAAAGTTTTGTTCCTTTTATCTGCAGCCTGAAGTGAATGCCATGTAAAAGACCAGCAGGAAGTACTTGAAACTTCCAATTTTAAGTCTCCGTGGTAAGTTTTCAAACAAAAAAAAATCAGTCTTGTTTATTTGAGTAGCAGAACTGTTTTCTGGGTTTTTTTTTTTTTTTTTTTTTTTTTTGGTTTGTTTGTTTGTTGTCAGAGTTTTGCTCTTGTTGTTCAGGCTGGAGTGCAGTGGCTTGATCTCGGCTCACTGCAACCTCCGCCTCCCAGGTTCAAGCAATTCTCCTGCCTCAGCCTCCAGAGTAGCTGGGACCTCAGGCGCCCGCCACCACGCCCAGCTAATTTTTGTATTTTTAGTAGAGATGGGGTTTCACTATACTGGCCAGACTGGTCTCAAACTACTGACCTTGTGATCAGCCCCCTCGGCTTTCCAAAGTGCTGGGATTACAGGCGTGAGCCACTGAGCCCGGCCTTTTTCTCTTAATTCGAGGAGAAAAATACGCTTGAAAAATATATGCACTAGAAGCAAGATAAATCAACATCTTTACGATTGAAGAATTAGTTGGTTGCAGACAGCGTTTTATGTGCTGTTTCACTACAACTTTAATTAACTTCAAACAAGGAATGCATTCTAGCTTTGCTCTCGTTTTCATGTGACTCTGTATTCCGTATATGCAATGATTATACCATTAAATTCTATCCTTTGGGAAATCAACCTGACATTGTTCTGAATTGTCCATTGAGTATACAAGACATTCAAGTTCTTAAAATTGTAAGGAAGGCATGAAGAGACTTTTGCCTGCTATGTCCTGATTGGTTGCTACCTTATTCCTTCAAGCCAATACCATTAACAAGTTCAATTAAGAGAGCTGACATCACGGTCAGCGATGGGGGCTGATCAGACTGAAGAGAAATAAATAGGACTAGGAATGTAACATTATGGCTATATTTATTATTTCTAACATGATTGCAGTTTTTCAGGGGGACTTTACAAAAAGAATTAGAGTTGTGATATTCTTTTTTTAGGAGGATTTTTTCTTCTTTCTTTTTTAAGTGTGTGAGGTTTATTCAACTTTCTTTGTGTTATACATACATTCCTATGCTATCTGTGGAGTTATGATTTATTAAACACTTGTTATGTGCTAGACAATGTGCTGGGTGCTTTACAAATATTACTCTTGTAATCTTCACTATCATCCTAAAAGTGAGTTATCATTATCCTCATTAACAGATGAAAGACATATGGTTAATAAGTGGTAGAGATGCTATTTAAACAAAAACTCTTAATATTCCACTCAAAGACACTTAATAATCACAAGGCTACATAGCTTACCAGGGACCATACATTAGGATACTTAAAGAAAAGGCAAAACAACAACAACAATAAACAACTATTAAACTTGAGTCAGATGACCTCATGGAGTGCCTTTCTCCCTTATTACCATCTGAGTCTAGGGTCAGCTTGTGAAAAGATAAAGGAAAAATGTGCCCAGTTGGGTTTGGCTGCAGCTGGACACTTGCTTACCTAGGAAAGGAACAAATTTCTCCCTGGGTACTTCACCTTCAAAGCCAGCTTTTTGTAACTCTGAAATATTGCATCACTAGAACAATGCACGAGAAGCTCAGAACTGGTAACAGCCTGCCAGGTCCCTGCTCCAAAATCAAAGTCTCTCCAGCCCTCCTACTGTGAAGAAATCTGTTATTAATTCTCATTGTGATTTTCTAAGGTAAAACACAGATGCATGCAGTTCAACACTGCAAGTGGCTTTAGAAAAGGTCAGTAATTGTCCCACCTGGCAAAGATCACTCACAAATATAAATTGTTTTGGCTCTTTGTTTTTTTTTTTTCAATGGTTGTTTGCGAGCAAAAATTCATCACTGTTCCTTCATTCTCCATGGATACAAGAGACAAACAATAGTCACATGGCCAGCCTACTGTCTTTGGAGACATCCACCCTCTTGCCCCTCCTCCCAGATTAGGCACCCAGCATCTTGGATTTGTGAGCATAACAGAGTGTGGGGGTGTGAGTCCATGTTATATTATTCCAAAAGAGAGTTTGTGATACAGAGGAAGAAATGTCAGCTTCTTCAGCCCTGATCCTTTCTGACCTTTCACTGTTTCTGTGAACCACCTCCTTTACTCTAGAGAATAGGGAAAGAACTGCTCTAACCTGAGATTTGAAGACCCAGGTTAGAATTACAGCTGCTTCACCAAATGTGTATTCCTGGGGTGGTCACTTGGCTACGCTGAGCCTTAGTTCCCCTGGCTATGAAGTCAGTGTTATAATGCTTACCTTACAGGTTTGTTGTGAGGATGAACATGAGAGAATGCAAGGAAAAGAACACTGTGATCGCATAAAGCAGGACTGTTGTGATATTAACAGCAGTGTCTTCAGGGAGGCATGCGCAGTCCTGCTTTTCCCTTGCCCTGGCAGGCTTACCTGGTCAGGGATTCAGATGCAAGTAGTGGGCAAAGAAAGGAGGGAGGAGGTTGATATGAGGCTGGTCTGATAACTGCTGCTAAAAGAAGTCAGGGCCTAAAATGTGCAAATATCGCCTCAGTTTTCCATAACCCCAAGGCCAATCTTTAACATAACCCATTATCTTTTTTCCTTTAGACTTCTAAGGCTAAAATGTTTTCTAGCTTATAACTCTAATGCTCTTTTAGGTTTATTTAAAGCATGACATATGTAAATATTAGGCACAGAATGTGATTTGAAGCAAGATTGAAAAAAAATTAAATTTTCTTCATACTTCCTAAAGATAACTTGGTGCCCAATGTTGATTTGAGACATCCTTAGGAATAAATAAATCAAATACTATCTTCCTTCCTTCCTTCCTTCTTTCCTTCCTTCTTTCCTTCCTTTCTCTCTGCAGCACTTTTTCTCTTTTATATCAAGGGTGTAAGGTTAAGTTTGTTGGAGCATTTAAAAAAAACAATTCTGCCTGGATGTCACTAAAGATATTTTAATTATGAATCACTTACTGAGAATTTGCCATTACTGCTGGTAGGTAAATTTACATATTGACATTTTACTTGGACAAGCCAAGGATTGGTAAGAAACTGAGTTATAAAATAGGTGAAGAGCTGTGGTTTACAAGTAGTTTTTATTTTGTTGTGTCACTGAAACTCCAAATATGCTCTTTTAATATAAGACTGTAATTGATGTCACAAATGGCTCAGATTTATTAACCCAAAGAAGACACAGATTGTATATGTTCAACTCCCATAGACCAGTGCACAAATCTAAAGAAACTCATCATATGTTTTTGCTTTTTATAATTTATTTTGCTCCTCTTTCTTCAGCAATGAGAAGAGTTCCTTGCAAAAAAAAGCCCCAAACCAAAACCAAACCCTAAACACTTCTCTATTTGTCCCTAACCAGCAGGGAAAGAGTTTTCTTCAGTCAGTGAGACCACAGAGAACATCTGGCTGATTAACAGATGTTAATGCCAGAATAGCTTTGGTTTGATCAACGATGTGATCAATCATGAAAGTTATAATTTTAGCAAGGTTTAGACTGTTCCATTAAATAAAGATGGAACATGTCTGATGTTCCAGATTTTCAGAAAAAAAAATATTTCTCCAAAAACAGTATTTTCAGAACATCTGCCTGCATATAATTTTAGATGTGATTTTTAACATGTCCATATGGTAACTACCTTACCTAAAAATGAAATTGGGGAGAGGGGGGAAGGTAAAGATTTATTTTTTCCTTGTGGTTGGGGGAGGACACAAGTTTTGTGCATTATTAATTTTATGCATTGAAGAGACAGTAGGGAAAATATAGACTGAAATACTGAGATTCAATTAGTTTATTTAGGAGGAAATTGTTTAATGGATGTTTTATGCTTTATGCATTCATATTACAGTATTTGAATGTGGATTTTACTTTTGTCTTCTTTAACTGGTTAAATAAAGAACAAGAAAATAGCACAACAGAATGAAAAATTAAAGAGAAGCCAAAGCAAAATTAGAGTAAAACAGTCAATGGCCATTATTCTACAAGAGGAAATTATGATGCCAAAGTATTAGTTAAAAAAAAAAGATGTAATCTAAAAGCAAGGAAAGAATAAAACTCATCAGAAATATGCCAAGGGAGAAGGAATGGAAGATGGAAGAACAAAGAAAAATAGGCAAGGATTATGTGGAAAATTTTTACAAAATGAATTTGCAGAGGAGATAAATTACTTGCTTACAAGTTGGTGCTAAAAAGGCAGGAAAGGGCCGGGCATGGTGGTTCATGCCTGTAATCCCAGCACTTTGGGAGGCTAAGGCAGGCAGATCACCTCAGGTCAGGAGTTCGAGACTAGCCTGACCAATATTATGAAACCCTGTCTCTACTAAAAATACAAAAATTAGCCAGGCATGGTGACATGCACCTGTAGTCCCAGCTACTGGAGAGGCTGAGACAGGAGAATCGCTTGAATCCAGGAGGCAGAGGTTGCAGTGAGCTAAGATCGTGCCATTGCACTCCAGACTGGGCAACAAGAGCAAAACTTCATCTAAATAAAAAAAGAAAGAAAGAAAGACAGGAAAGGGGACTAAAGTCCAAGGACATGTTTTTCAGAAAATTTCTCAGATGGACAATCTAGCAGAACTGATTACTTCCCATCATAATAAAAAATCTGAGGTCTACTGGGTGGATCCACAGAGATCATATTTCAATTAGTCAAAATGCTCAAATTAATGTAATAACAAAACTTTTGAAATCAGATAAGTGGTAGCCACTTTCTATTTGTTACAATAAACTCAGTTGTGTCTCTTAATCTAAACTAGTTTCATTGTATATACAACCAGAAATACAAATGAAAATCTCTCTAATAGTACTGGTACATCAAATGGATTGTTTCTTACATTCTAAGAATTTTATACACATTAAACTCATTTAAACAGCACAATAACATGTGGAAAATACAATTATTTTCACTGTTTATGGACAGGAAACAGAGGCCCAAAGATTAAAACCCACCCCACATTCCAAGGCTAGTACATGAAAGAATTAGAATACAAACTCAGATACGCTCACAACCACCATGCTACAGTGATGGTTTGTAGATTTATGTTAAACTATGGCTTAAAAAGAAATTTGGAAGCATTTTATGCATAATTTTTATTATAGTTTTAATGAAACCAAAGCAGGAGATGGCCAAATTTTATTCCCCCATGGTAAGAAATAAAATACATCCAAACCAACTAAATAATTCACTTCTCCCTCATCCCTAAGGATCAAACAGATTAAACATACTCTGAAATAAGACTGTTTTTGCTACTTCTCTTATTAAAAAAAACTCTTTGAGAATAAACCTTAAGCCTAACATTTCAAACATTTTGATTAAAAAAACAATTTTCTAATGTCAACCAAGGGTGGTCCTCTCTATAGCCATTCTGAAAAGGATACTTAATCATCTATACTAGCAAAAGGAACCTTTTAAATCTATGAAATATAATAACATGAAATGTGTCATATCCTGTTCTTTTATAAGTTCAAAATTAAGAAATATTTTCTTTCCTAGAAGTACTAATTATTAAAAATAACCAAATAAATAAGCTTTCTAGTTCATTGGTACCAAATTTACTTGCTTTTGAGAAAAGAAGGAAATAAAAAATAACAGTACAATTTAATTTTTCTTCACAATAATTTGAATTTTTTTATTAATGATATCACATGCATTAGTCAGAGTTCTCCAAAGAAACAGTACCAACAGGATATATATGTCCAAGAGAGGGATAGAGAGAGAGAGAGAAAGAGAGATTGATTGGGTTCAGGATTGGCTCATGCCATGATAGACACTGGCAAGTCTGGTAAATCCAAAATTGACAGGGTAGTCCAGCAGGCTAGAGACCCAGAGAAGAGTTCACATTGCAGTTCAAGTCCAAAGGCGGACTGTGGGCAGAATTCTCTATTTCTGGAGAGCAGCATTTTTTTTTCTTTTAAGTTCTTCAACTAATTGGATAAGGCTCACTCACAATTTAGAGGGTAATCTGTTTACTCCACATCTACTGATTTAAGTGTTAATCTCATCTAAAAAATACCTTCACTGCAACATCAACAGCAGCGCTTGATAAAATATCCGAGTACCACAGCATAGCCAAATGGTCACAAAATAGTTTCCGTCACATCAAAAAAAAATTATAAACACTGTTTTTTTCTGCAAAGAGATGCTGACCTTTGATATCAAAATCTAGAGCCAGTAGATACACACTTAATATGCAATATTGGAGTTTACAATTTATTTCTATTACACATACAAAAATATATCTGTCAGTTACATATTTCTGATTTTGGGGGTCTAGAGAGAATGTTGGTACTCAAAATAGAAGAGAAAAAGAGTTACTGGTCATACTTGAATGGTACATTCTATGCCAGCCTTGAGATCTGTGTGTGTCATTGCTGACTATCTGAGATCACTTTACAATAAATATTTTTTGGTTACCATAGAAACAGAACCTGGAAGAGGCCCAGGATAAGGACACCATATTCTGAATATCATTGTAGAGTGATGTGTGCTATTTTGAGGGATGGGTAGGGAGCACTTCCTGTTGAGGAGCGCCTTTTATTGCTTGCGGTGTTTTAGAAAGTTAACATCCAACCTGCAATCTTTTATTATTTTTATGTGACTTTAAAAAGCTGCATTTCTGTGGAGCTGCAGGGCTTTTGAAAATGAATTCAGCTGGCACATTGAATTGGGATGTAGCAAGATGGATGGCAGATTCATATTCCAGTGCATCACATGACTTTCATCAACTTAGTGTGTCAGCTAAAAAGTTTAAGGAGAGGGGGAAAAATCAGTTAAAGAAATTTTGTCTCTGTCAAAACTGAGTTTAGGGAACCTGCATTTATTAAAGAAACTTTATATTGTGAATTGCCATAGAGGTTTTAAAGCCTGTTAATAGGGTGATATTTCAGTTTAAATTTGGATGTCAACACACTTCGTGGCTCAGATTTTGGACTACCATTGTGAAGTTTAAAGCAAAAAACAAGGAAGAGTGAATGAAAAGTGATGGATATGTTAGGGTTGTCCATAGTTTAAGATATGTATATCCTGACTGCTATCAATTGGAGAAACAAAACTGCAACAATTTTCTATAAAAGGTAGTTCTGTTCAAGCAATACAGAAAGCAAGACTGCATGGATTTTTCTAATATTTGGGTAATATTTTAAATGAAAGAATAAATATAAATATATTTGCATTTATAAAAATATTGCATTAATATTACCTACTACATGCCAGATACTATTCTAGGTATTCAGAATAGAATCAATAAAGCAGAAAATCTTGGAGCTTTCCTTTTTGCAGAGGTAAATAAGAAATGAACCATAAATATAAGAAAGATGTATAGCGTGCCAGAAGGTAATTAGCAGGGTTAAATAATGAAAAAATTCAGCAGGATTGCAGAGATTGGCAGTGCCTTGGTGGAGTTGGAGGGGAGGATTGGTTGCTTACATAGGTCTCACTGATAAGGTGACATTTGAGAAGGGATTTAAAGTAGGTGCTGGAGTTTTCCACTTGGTTAACCAGAGGAAGAATACTCCAGGAAGAAGGGAGAGCGAGCCTGAAGCTTCATGAGGGAGGGGGAATAGTGTGAGATGAAGTCACAGGAAGCTAGATTAGGAACATCCTCGAGGCCAATGCATTGAATTAGGTTTTGATTCTGAGTGAGAAAAGGAGCCATCAGTGGGTTGGAGAAAGGTAGTGAAATAATCGAATTTATCTACTGAAGAGATGACCCTGGCCGATGTGTTGAGAATAAACTGTAGAGGGTAAGGTGGAAGCAGGGAGATATAGGAGGGATCTACACAAGACAGAGATGCTGGAGACCTACCCCAGGGTGACGGCTGTGGAGTAGGTGAGAAGTTGATCAGATTCTGGGCGTAGTTTGAAGTTAGAACCAATAGGCTCTTTTGGCAGCCTGGATATGAGGAGCAAGAGAAAGAGACCAGTCAGATATAACTCATAGGTTTTTGGTTTGGGCAGTGGAAAGATGGAATTGCCAGGAATTTACTTGGGCTAAGCTGCAGAATGAGTGGTTTGGTGGAAATGAGCAGTTCAGTCATAGATGGCTGAGGTTGAGTTATCTACCGTTTGACCATATACGTTGTGATTTAGAGGATGCTTCTGAGCTGCGAGTTGGCACCATGTAGACAGGACATAGATCAGATAACATACAATCAACAATACTTGATGATTTTGGACTGAAAGTAATAGCAGTTTCATATGATACAATCTTATAAAAAGCTTTAGAACTGAAACAGATTACCAAGATTTGGAGACAGAAATATAGATATGAAGGATGGAAGCTTGAGAGAGCCCTACATTAGGAAGTTGGAAGAAAAATGAGGAGAAAACAGCAAAGGAAAGAAAACTGTGTTGTCCAGGAAGCCAACTTGAAAAATTGAATCAAAGTGGAGGATGTAATCCTTGATTCACATGCCAGTGATAGATTGTGTAAGATTAAAATTGATTATTAAATTTAACAATATGGAGATCATTGGTAACCTTGATAAGATTTTGTGTTGGTGGAGTACGGGGGTTAAAGCATAATTTGAGTAGTTCCAAATAATACAGATGAGAGGAAAATTGACAATCATGCATACGGACAGCTCTTTTAAGAAATTTGTCATACAGAAGACCAGACGAATGAAGTGTCTGGAGAAAGAGGATCTGAGGCTTATATGGTTTGGCTGTCTCCCCACCCAAATCTCATCTTGAATTGTAGTTCCCATAATCCCCACATGTCATTGAAAGTACCTGATGGAAGGTAACTGAATCATGAGGGCAGTTACCTCCATGCTGTTCTTGTGATAGTGAGTGAGTGTCCAGGAGACCTGGTGGTTTTATAAGGGGCTTTTCCCCTTTTGCTCAGCACTTCTCCTTGCTGCCACCATGTGAAGAAGGCCATGTTTGCTTCCCCTTCTGCCATGATTCTAAGTTTCTTGAGGCCTCCCCAGTCCTGTGGAACTGAGAGCCAATTAAAGCTTTTTTCTTTATAAATTACCCAGTCACAAGTATGTCCTTACAGCAACATGAAAATGAACGAACACAGATGTCAACCGAATTTTTT
Source organism: Homo sapiens (assembly GCF_000001405.40). Classification (NCBI taxonomy): domain Eukaryota; kingdom Metazoa; phylum Chordata; class Mammalia; order Primates; family Hominidae; genus Homo; species Homo sapiens. The sequence continues at coordinate 35,140,173 of NC_000008.11, read as the reverse complement.
TTTAATATGGGAGAAAAGTTTACATGATGATTGGAATGAACCTTGAGGTGAAAAATTTCATGATGCCGGAGAAAGAGGGAACAATTTCCAGGCCAAATGTCCTTGGGTAGGCAAAAGGAAAGAAATTCAGTTTATAGTTAGAAAAGCTGGTCTTAGAATGTCACATAAACCATTTAACTCTAGCAACAGAATGGAAGGCAGATCTTATGGGCAAAAATGCAGGTGGGTTGGAAGCTATACTGATAGGAGCATGCAAAAGTTGTTTTTTAATTGTTTCTATTTTCTTACTGAAAAAGAAAGCAAAATTATCAGTTGAAAGTGAGAATGGGGAAGATGTATTGCAGACTGTAACAGTGTATGAAATAGTTACTAGATGATTTGGAGATTGAATAGGCTGGGGAAATGTAATAGGATTCCCATGTGGTATTATGGGCCCTTGGAAGATGGTGGCCATCAATTTAAAGTGAAGATAATGATTTTCTTACAAACATATTCTGCTTCGTGGGTGCTGGTATAAGGAGGAAGAGAATTGAAATTATTAGGGCTAAGGTTTTTCAGGTGAATAAAAAGAATATACAGAGGAGCAACTGAGTTGAGTTTATCTATACAGGAGAATAATCATTAATATAACGGGAACATACTATCCAAGCTGTGTAAGGAAAACAGTGACGATGAAAGATGGTAGGAGGAAAGAGAAAAGATGACAGAATTAAAGATCTAAGGACCACTGGAGTTGGAGTACTAAAGTTAGTGAACTGAAAAGTTAGGAGGCAGTGCTGGAAATTGAGGATATAGAAGAAATGTAATTATTGGTACAGGAGACCTGGGATTATGCCTATGAGAGTAAATGACTGAGGTGGGGAGGAAGATAAGGTCATTGGAGGAGAAAACATCAAGAAACTGAGACCCACTGTACTGGAAGTATCAGCAGGGTAGATATTGAAATGATTGGAAGTTAATCCAGTAGGCTCATTTAATTCCACAATAAGATGATTGAATATTTTAATCATGGCAACTTATTTTATATGTTTAAATGCAAATACGTTGAAAATCCCAAAAGGTCTTGTTTTGGAATGTGCAAGCATGAATAAATAATTCTTCTGTAAAGATAAAATGGGTGAGAGTCCTGCAAAAATTTGTGTTCGATATTCAAAAATGAATATTAAAAATTTTAGATATTAAAGTATTTAAAGGAGGATTTATATTACCAAGTACTGCAATAAATTATAATAAAAGTAAAACAACAATAAAATAATGTAACAATGAACCACAAATTAACAGAGAGGCCAATTTAACACAGTAAATAATTCAGAAATAGATAATGGTATGTTGGATTTATTGTATAATAGAACTAGCATCACAGATAAATACTTTGAGAAAGTCTTATTTCATAACTAAATTTAGTATAAATAGTGAACTGTTTGGGAGAAAAATAGACTCCCATAACTTACATCAAAATGAAATTTAAAAAGGAAATTACTTGAAAAAATTACAGAATAATAGAAAAAAACCAAAGAGAATTACTTTTTATATTTCAATATAGGAAAGGAACCCTTTCAGCGACCTGATAGGATTGACATTTTAAAAAAGTTACTCTGGCTATTGTGTGAAGAATGATTGGGAAGCATAAGATGGAATCAGAGAGATGAATTGGAAGGCTATTGCAAAGTGCAGATGAGAAGTGATGGTGTTGTACAAGAAGCTACCAGCTTCTGGTGGAGAGAAAATGCAGATTTGAAAGGTGAGTCAGTTATACCCCAGATCCAATGACCAATCTCTTCCAAAAGAATCACTTCCTTAAGGTTGAGAAAAACCACTCTCAAATTTGAGATTTTTCTGAATCTATGTTTATATTTCTGTTATATCACTGCTTATTTTGTATATTTTAATTTCTTTATTTTTTGCTGCTTTCAGTAAAGAATACCTTATCATTTCTAAAACCTTCTCCAATAATTACAGACTCACAGGAAATAGCAAAAATAGTACAGTCCTGTGTATTTTTCACCCAGCTTTCTCCAATGGTAACATTACAAAAAATAACTGTAGTAAAGTATGAAAACCAGAAAACTGACATTATTTCAATATAGTAGCTGAGCTAAAGATTATTCAGATTTTCATAGTTTTATATGCACTAGTGTGTGTGTGTGTGTGTGTGTGTGTGTTGCTCAGGACAATTTTATTCCATAAGTCATTATCACAGTCAAGACACAGAATTGTTCTAGCACAGGACTCTCTTGTTCTACTTTTTTTTATAGTCACCCTCCCCATTAGTATCCCTTGGATATCATTAAACTGTTCCCATCTATAAAATTTTAGCATTTTGATTTTTTGACAGCTTTATTAAGATGTAATTTACCTACCACACGGTTCATCTATTTAAGGTGTACAATTCAATGGTTTTTGATACTACAAGATCATTGTAACATAGATCTCATAAACTTTGTTGTTTTAACTGTTTTTAAGTGTACAATTCAGTGGCATGAATTATATTCACAATGTTGTGCCTCCACCATCACTATTAATTTCCAAAACTTTTTTATCACCCAAACAGAAACTACTCATTAGGCAGTGACTCCCCCATTTTTTTGTTCCCCCAGCCCATAGCAATCTCTGATCTTTCTCTGTCTCTGTGAATTTTCCAATTCCGGGTCCTCATAGAAGTGGAAACATACAATATGTATCCTTTTTTTTGCTGGTTTATTTCACTTAGCATAATGTTTTCAAGGTTCCTCCATGTTGTAGCATTTATCAGAACATTATTCCTTTTTATATCTAAATAATATTCTGTTGAATGTATATACCACATTTTGTGTAATGCTATATAAATGAAATCATATAATACATAACCTCCAGAAATTGGCTTTTTATACACAATGTCTTTGAGATTGTTTTATCTGTCTCCCAATCCCCAAAATGACTCCTGGGTTGATTTATTAATTCTACCAATTTTTCCCTCCCAATTTTGACAACTAATATTTGTGATTTTAAATTTAAGACCATGATTTTTTTAAAGAACTATTTGAGTCATATCCTATATGATCTAATGTGTAATGTTATTTTTGGATGTTCTAAAATGTCCTCTTTATTTTCCTCTTTAACACAAAAATTTTTAAAGGAAGAACTGATAGGGTTTCCTGTTTTCTGGCTCTCTTAGGAATACCTAATTTTATTGCAATGTACTCAGATAATATAGATAGTTTTTCCTCTATTCTCAATCTTGTATCACAGTTTTCTTTATAGCCTAATATATGGTCAATTTTGTGAAGGTTTTATGAATATTCTCTGTTTTCATGACAGAATTCAATTAGTATCCACTATATCCAACTTATTATTTATGTTATTTTGGGCTTTATATCTTCTTCATTTTATTTTTTTCCCAATTCATCTGGCATGATAGAGAGAATGAAACACTTCTTTTTCTACCAATGTTTCTGTATGTTTTACCTTGTTTTACCATATTCTAGCTTTCAATATTTCTTCAGTGAAGTCTCATGCTGGATACCATTTTTCCCCCTCATAGCCAATTACATCTTTTGACTGGCCATCCTAGGGATTTGTCTTATTAAAGTTATGTAGCTTTCAGAATACAAATTATGCCCATGTTTTGTAAGATTTAGATTTAGTGCTTTTGGTGTTATGATAGAATTCTTATTAATATTTATTTTTTGTCATTTATTATTAGTTTATAAAAATAAAAATAATTTTTGTGTGGTGACCTTATGTCCAGAAGCCCTGCTAAACTCATTTACTAGTTGTAGAAGTTTTTTTTTTTTTTTTTTTAAATAGTTTTTTAGCCTGGGCAAAATAGTGAGAACCCATCTTTACAAAAAATTAAAACAATTAGCCAGATGTGGTGGTGCATGCCTGTAGTCTCAGCTGCTCAGGGGTCTGAGACAGAGAATTGCTTGAGCCCAGGAGTTTGAGGCAGCAATGAGCCATGATTGTACCACTGTACTCCAGCTCAGGCAACAGGGCAAGACCCTGTCTCAAAGAAAAGAAAGTGTATTTAACTATTTTCTATATAAAGATTTATGCCTTCTGTGAATAGAAGCAGTTTTATTTCTCTTTTTTTTTGAACTGCATAATTTTTATTTATTTTTTCTCATTTCACTGGTTAGGCCATCCACTGATGTTGAATAGGATTGGTATATGTGAATATCCTTATCTTTTCACAATCTTAGAGATAACAATATTTAGTTTTCCACTATTAATTATGACGTCTCTGATGAATATTCAATTGGTGCTTGAAAGCAATATAAATTGTATTGTTTGGTGGAGTTTTTCATTCATGTACATTAGGTCAAGCTTGTTAATTATGTTGTTCAACTCTTCTGTTTACTAAACTGATTTTTTTTTGTTCTATTGACTCCAGAGAGGAATGCCAAAATTTCCAAATATATCTGTGGATTTTTCTATTTATCCTTTCAGTTCTATTTATCTTTGCTGTGTCTATTTAGAAAAGCTTGATATTGATGAATACACACTTAGAATTATTAGGTATTCATGGTGAATTGACCCGATTTATCAACTGACACTTGACCATTATAATATTAAGAATATTCTTAGATATTCCTAGTGAATTAACCCACTTATCCCAGTAAATGTTCCTTGTTCTAAAGTCTACTTTGACTGCATTTCATATAGACTCTCTAGCTTTCGAGTAGTGTTTGCCTAGTATATATGTATACATAGCCATCCATTAAATTTTAACCTATCCATGTTTCTATGGCTTGAGTATTTGTTCCCTCTAAAACTCATATTGAAATTTAATTCCCAGTGTGGCAGTATTGAGACGTGGGGCCTTTAGGAGGTGATTGAATCATGAGGGCTCTGCCTTCATGAATGGATGAATACATTTATGGCTTAATGGATTAATGGTTTAAAGAGCTATTATGGGAAGGGAACTAGTTACTTTATAAGAGGAAGAATGACCTGAGCTAATGTCCTAACACACTTAGCCCCTCACCATGTAATGCCATGTGCTGCCTCAGGACTCTGCAGAGAGTCCTCATCAGCAAGAAGGCTCTCACCAGATGTGGCCCCTTGACCTTGAGCTGCTCAGCCTCCACAACTGTGAGAAATAAATTGTTTTTCTGTATAAATTATCCAGGTTCAGGTATTCTGTTATAAGCAACAGAAAGCAGACTAACACACATGTTTTTCTATTTAAAGCAGATTTCTTGTGAACAGTATATAGTTAGGTCTTCTTTTCTTAACTAACATGATAATCTCTTTCTTTTTGTTGTGGAATTTAGACCATTTATGCTTAAAACAATCATTGATGAGGTTGGATTTAAATCTACCATCTTGCTAGTTGTTCTCTATTTGTTCCATGTGTTCATTCTTCCATTTTAATTTTTTTGTCTGATTTTGGCTTGTATGTATTTTATAATTTGACTTTCTACCCTTACCTTATTAATAGTCCTTCAAAAATGTTTTTAGTGTTATTCTAGCATTTGCATTATACTTCTTCAATTTATTACATTGTGCAGAAAAGATTAATCTTGCCCAAATAAAGGTTTTGCCCTTTCCCCCTGGCTTCTGGAAGGTTACCTCTAAATCCTTGGAACGTTCTGCTTAATAAGAATGTCTTTATTTACATGAGGTCCTTGGTTCATTCTAGATAGCCTGTTCTAACCATGTGATCTATGGTGGGGGCCTTGGGCCAGACAGTTATCAGTTTAACCTCTGGAGAAACTGGAAACTAAGATCAGCTACATGGTTGATCAGCCATATCTCTGAAATCAACCCCCTATAAAAACACTAGACATTGAGTGTTTGGATGAACTCCTTCAGTTGGCAATACTGTATATATTGCCACACATCACTGCTGGGAGAAATAGGCACTGTCTGCGCAACTACATAAGGAAAAGACAACTGGTATCTCATGCTTGTTGAGTCCTGGACCGTCCCTGGTATGCCTCTTTCATTAGCTGCTATGAATCAGTATTCTTTTACTCTAATAAACTGTAACTGGAATATAATTGTTTTTGTAAATTCTGTGAGTTCTAGCAAATTATTGAACCTGAAGGTGATCTTGGAGACCCTCTAACTTTGCACATATCCTACCTTCAAATAATATAATATTTCACATGATGTGTAAGAACATTACAACAATATACTTCCAATTTTCCTCTTAAATTGAATGTGATATTATCACACATTTTATTTTTATGTATATCGTAACTCCCAACATGCATTATTATTACCTTTTTAAATCCATAATATTTAAGACAATTTTAAAAACAATTTAAGTATTATATATTTATCTCTGATATTGCCGTTTTTGGAAAACTGTTTTTTGTAGATCAACATGTCTGTCTGATATGATATTCTACTGGTTGAAGTACTTCAACTATTATTTCTTATGTCGTATGTCTTCTGGTCATGCATTCTCTCATCACGTGTTTGTAAAAAAGCCTTTTAAAAATATTTTTACAGGGTATTTAATTATTGATTGAGAGTTAATTTTTTTAAGTAATACTTTAAGAATGTCAATTCAACGTTTCCTGGTTTTCACAGTTTCTGGTGAGAAGTATACTACAATTCTTGCCTTTCTTCTTCTGTATGTATTACATCTTTTAAAAAATATTTAGCTTTCAAAAACACTTAAGTTTCAGTAGTTTAATAAAATAATTCTACGTGTTTTGTTTTCTTCTTTAAAAATGTATTCATGTGTTTGGAGTTTTCCTATCTTCTTGGGCCTGAGTTTTAGTAACTATCATTAATTTAAAAAAAAATGCTTGGCTCTTGTATTTTAAAACATTACTTCTTCAACATTACTTTTGAGGTCTCCAATTACATAGATATTAGAATTTTTGTCATTAATTAACTGTTCTTAGAGACTCTGTCCTGGCTCTCAAACTCAAATAATTATTCTTTTTGTGTTTTAGTTTCGAAAATTTATATTGGCCCATTTTCAAATCCAATTATAATTCACTTGACTGTGTTCATCAATGGCATTCATTATCTCTTTTACCACTATTCTTTTTCTTTTTGATTTACAGCATTTTCATCTTACACTTTCTCACAATTTTCCTCTCTCATCTGAAATTCACCCTCTACTTAGTATGTTTCATGTTATTAAGAATTATCCTAGGCCAGGCGCGGTGGCTCACACCGTAATCCCAGCACTTTGAGAGGCCGAGGCGGGCGGATCAGAGGTCAGGAGATTGAGACCATCCTGGCTAACATGGTGAAACCCCGTCTCTACTAAAAATACAAAAAATTAGCCGGGCGTGGTGGCGGTCACCTGTAGTCCCAGCTACTCGGGTGGCTGAGGCAGGAGAATGCGTGAACCCAGAAGGCGGAGCTTGCAGTGAGCCAAGATCATGCCACTGCCCTCCAGCCTGGGCGACAGAGCAAGACTCTGTCTCAAAAAAAAAAAAAAAAAAAAAAGAATTATCCTTTACATATTTTTTATAGTTTTTTTGGAAGTCACTGTCTGACAGTTGCAATCTCCGGTTATCTCTGGATATGGTTCTTTTGTTTGCTTTTTCTCTTGACAACGGGTTGTATTTTTGTGGGTTTTTTTTTTTTCAGCTTGTAGTTTTGGTTAAACAGTAGAGAACAGTAGAGATTCAGTTCAATAATATTTACACCTGGTAATAGGCAAACCTCTATGTCATTGTAAAAATACTCACGAGTTAAGCTTCTGAATTTGGGTTTGTGTATGTTATGACTATCTTTAGTCCATCAAATGGCTGAAAAATTTTCTAGAATTGTATCAATCATTTAAAGAAGAATTAACAGAATTTCTTCACTAACTGTTAACAAAAAATAGAAAAGGAAGGATACTTTTAATCCATTCCCTGATACTAAAACCGGGTCAAGATGTGAACGAAAAGTACAGACCAATACCTTTTACGGACGTAGATGCAAAGACTCTCAACAATGTAGTAGCAAATCGAATCAAGCAACATATAAAAATTATACACAATGACTGAGATTTATCCAAGAAATGCAAGGTTGATTTAATATTTGAAAATTGATAAATGTAATATACCATAGCAATAGAATAAAAAACAAAACCCACATTCTAATCTCAATAATTCAGAGAAGCATTTGCTAAAATTCAGTGGCCTTTTATTATAAAAACACTCAACACACTATTCCTTAACCTGATAAAAGGCATCTGTGAAAAACTCACAGCTAGCCTTATAGTCAATGATAAAAGACTAAATGTTTTACCCCAACATCAGAAACAAGACAAAGATGTCTATTCTCATCACATATGTTTAACATTGTAATGGAGATTTTACACAGGGCAACACATAATAAACACCAATAAAAGACATTCAGATTGGAAAGAAATACAAAGCTATCTCTATTTACAGACAGCATGTCTTGTATATAGAATATTCTAAGAAATCCACCACAAATCTTTTAGAACTAATAAACGAGCTCAGAAATGTTGCAAGACACAAGATTAATATACAAAATCCAGTTCTGTATCTATACACATGCAATGAACATAATGAAAATAAAATGAGTGAAATAATTATATTTATAATAGCATAAAAAGAATAAAAATATTCAGGAATAAATTTTACAAAATTAGTGTAAAACATATACTTTGAAGTACAAAACTTTGTTGAAAGAAATGAAATAATATCTAAATAACTAAATAAATTACATGCTCTTGGATGGGGAGACAGTATTGTTAAGACAACAGGAATCCCCAAAGTGATCTAGAGATTTAACACAATATCTTTTAGAATTCCAGATGGCAATTAGCGCGGTGACTCATGCCTGTAATCCCAGCACTTTGGGAGGCCAAGGTGGCTGGATCACCTGAGGTCGGGAGTTCGAGACCAGCCTGACCAACATGGAGAAACCCCATCTCTACTAAAAATACAAAATTAGCCAAGTGTGGTGGCACATGCCTGTAATCCCAGCTACTCAGGAGGCTGAGGCAGGAAAATCTCTTGAACCTGGGAGGCAGAGGTAGCGGTGAGTAGAGATCGCGCCATCGCACCCCAGCCTGGGCAACAAGAGAGAAACTCTGTCTCAATAAAAAAAAAAAAAGAATTCCAGATGGCTTCTTTGTAGAAATTGACAGGTTGATCCTAAAACCTGTAGGAAATGAAAGGACTCAGAATAGCCAAGACAATTTTGAAAAGAAAATCAAAAAACAAAAAACAAATTTTCAGGACTCAAACTTCTATATTTTATAACTTACTAGAAAGATATCATGTAGCTTTAGACTGTGCTATCATTTAGCTCTAGACAGTGTGATACTGGTATATGAGTAAACTATAAACTATGATTGAGGGAATAAAATAGCTCAGAAATAAAACTATCCATTTATGGTCAATTGATTTTTTAAAAAATGGTGGTAAATAAGTTAATGAGGAGAAAACTTTTTCAAAAAATGGAGCTGGGAAAGCTGGACATTCAAATGCTAAAAAAAGGGCAAGGGGCATTGGAGCTGTTCCTCACACCACACACAAGAATTAACTTAAATGAATCAAAGAGCTAAATCTAAGAGCTAAAACTATAACATACAGAAGAAAATATACAAAAAAATCTTCATGACATTGGATAGTTCATAAACATCATCTTGGATATAACATGACGTTGGACATTGGTTTCATAGATATGATATCAAAAGCACAATCACCAAAAGAAAAAATATATACATTGGTCTTCATCATAATAAAAACTGAGCCTCAGAGGATACCATTAGTAAAATGAAAAAATGACTCATAGAATGGGAGAAGGCATATGCAAATTATATATCTAACGTGGGTCTTGTATAAATAATATATAAAATACTCTTACAACTCAATAATGAAAAGACAGACCAATTTAAAACGGGGATAGTATCTATATAGACATTTTCCCATTAAAGATATACAACTGGACAATAAATGTATGAAACGATGTCAATATCATTAGTCATTAGAGAAATGCAAATGAAAAACACAATGAATAGCCATTTCTCATCCACTATGATGGCTGTAATAAAAAATACAGATAACCAAGTGTTGTCAAGGTTGTGGGTAAATCTGAATGCTCATACACTGGTGGTGAGAATAACAATAATGTAGCCACTTTGGAAAATTATGTGGTAGTTCTTCAAAAAGTGAATCATCAAGTTACCATTTGATCTAGCAATTTCAATTCTAAGTATACCCCCCAACAAAAGAAAACATATGTCCACACAAAGGGTTTTACATGAATATTCATAGCATCTTATTCATAATAGCCTAACAGTGGAAACAACTCTCATGTCCACTAACAAATGAATAAACAAGCAAAATGTGTATATTATTTGGCTCTAAATGGTAATGTAATATTTATACATGCTGCAATATGTATGAACCTCAAAAACCATATGCTAAGTGAAATAAATCAATAAAAGGCCACATACTGTATAATTCTATTTATATGAAATGTCCAGTATGTGCAAATCTGTAGAGACAGAAAATAAATTAATGATTGTCAAGAGATGGGTGGGAGAGGCAAAGAGAAGTAAGAGGATTGGAGGTAATATCTAAATGGTACACAGGTTTTTGGTGGGGGTAGGTAAAAAGATTCTAAAATTGGTTGTGATGATGGTTAATGCAGTTCTGTGAATGGATTACAACCATTGGATGGTGAACTTTAAATTGGTGAATTATATGTTGTGTGAACTGTTACCAGCTGAATAAAGCTGTTACCCACCCCCAACAACAACAACAACAATCCTCCAGTGTTAATCACCTGTTGCCTTGTGCTTAGGGAGGGTGCTATGGTACAAGAGGGGTTTTTGTTTATTATTATTATTATTATTATTGTTTTAAGGCACGGCTCATTCTGTTGACCAGGCTTCAGTGCAATGGCGCTATCTTGGCTCACTGCAACCTCCACCTCCTGGGCTCAAGAAATTCTCCCACATCAGTCTCGCGAGTAGGAGTAGCTGGGACCGCTAGCGTGCACCACCATGCCTGGTTCATTTTGTATTTTTTCTAGAGACAAGGTTTCCCCATGTTGCCCAGGCTGGTCTCAAACTTCTGGCCTCATGCAATCTGCCCTTTTCAGCTTCCCAAAGTGCTGGGATTATAGCCCTGAGCCACTGCACCCGGCCCAGGGGGCTTTTCTTAGTGGCTGTGTTCCACTTGTCCCTGTCTACATGTACACAGAGAATGTGGATCTCCAAGCTCTTTCCTCTTTCCCATAGTAACTATTGTTCTTCTTATTCAGTACTTTGCCAGAGTGGTGGTGGTGACTTTGGTCCAGCCTCAGTCTCAGTCAGGCCCTGTGTGTCTGAGCATTGAGGGTAAGGCTCTCTCAGCCTTCCTGTCTCTTCTCTCCATGGCAGCCAAGGTCTTCTTTGTATTTGTAGAAAAATCTCCTGTAGAGAGATTTGCTGGTACATCACTTGGTGGTAAGTAACCTCGAATGGCATTGATATAGGGTTTAAGACACTGTTTTTGATTTTGTTTTTGACTTCTCCACCAGCATCAAAGTGTTACTTTCTTTTGTTTTTCCTTTTATCCTCTCACCAGCCATCATGGGTTTTTGCATGTGCCCTGAAGGTAGTAGCATTTGTTACCCCTCTAAGGAACCTTAAAGATTTAGTTTCAAATGAGATAATATCTAGGGGATTGAGGGCAGTGAGGCTCTGAGCCTTTTCCACAGGAGCACTGCATCCCCTCCAGCCCATCTGCACTAATAAGCAGCTATATGTGTGTGGGATCCCTCTGCTCCCCTGTCCTTACACGAATATGTCTTTTGACCACCTGATGACATTCCGTGGAAAAGAGCCTGCAAATAAACACAGTCACCTCTTGTGTCCGTGGCCTTTGTTTGTTCTATACTGTTGTGTTATCCTATGACACTGTCTTCAGCAATCTATGACAATTTTAGTTGTATTTTCACCTGCTTGTAGGGTGATCCTTATCCTGTGCTCTGCCGCAAAAGTCAGCCTACTTGTCTCTTCTCTCTTGGGAGGGGCCTGCCCATCTTAGGTTATTCAAACTATCCTGATGAGTTCAAGAGAAGTTATGATTTATTTAGTTTATCCAGATTTTTCTTATTGTTAGTGTGGGAAAAATGCTTTTTAAGCTTCATGATTCCTAGTGGAAGTAAACTCATTTCCATTATTTTGCCATTATAAATAATTCTGCAGTAATCATCTATGTACATACATTCACATGCGCTGAAGATTTTTTCAATAGGAAATACTATTAAAAGTAGAAACTTCGTGTTTTTAATTTTTAGTTTTAAGAATTTTTAATTTTAATTGCTCTTGCCAGATTTCTTCCCATATTCTACAAAGATGATAACAATTTACATTTCCATTGCATATCGCTGCCAACAATAAAAACAATGCTTTTAAAAATGTTTGCTAATTTCAGTGGTATAAAGTTATACTTTATGGTTACTTTGAGATAAATTCCATAATTACTATTAATTTTGTCACTAGAATTTTCTATTCAGTGAATTGTTTTTGCTATTTTTTTGTTTATAGAGTTGTTTGTATTTTTCCTGTATCATTTAAGAATCCCTGTGTCCTTACAAATATAAGCATTTATAATAGTTTGTCATCTACATTATTTTTCCAAAGCCAATCATTTGCCTATTAATTTTTTATTTTAGACTTTGGCACATAAAAATTACATATTTATGTATTCAAATATTTATTTATATATTTATTTGATTATATAAATATATAAATTTTATATAGGTTTCTTATCTTTGTTAAAATTCTCTCCCCTTCCTTAGATTCTAAATATGCAATCTCCTAGATTTTCTGTTAAGGGTTTCAATTGTTTCAATAAAAAAATTAAGTGTATAATGCATTTGTAATTAATTTTTGTGTATGGTGTGATAAAGGGATATAATTTTAGTTTTCTCTTAATGCACAGCTATTTTCCGTGCATCCTTTATTAAATAAATTATCTTTTCCCACTGAATCCAAATATTTTCTTGTTATATATTAAATTATTGCTTTTTCTTGGATCTATTTTGGGATTTTCTATTTGGTTTCAATAATCTATATGTCCATTCTTATGCACTATCACATTGATTATATCATAGTGGAATTTTAGTTATTCTGACATCTGTTAATGCAAATCCTAGATCACTTTTATTCATGTTTTTCTCTTTCATGATTTTCTTGATTATTATTAAGCATTTATTACTTAATATACACTTTATGATAATTTTATACGACATCAAGTTACATGATTTTAATTTACATATTAGGTTTTGATGAATTTTCTACAATGAGCATGACTTTGTTATCTATAACTATGAAGAGCTACATGATATTTTTGAAAAAAGAAAAATAAGGAGAAGAATATTGAGGATGAGGTTTCTCACATCTACTCTAAGCTATGCAAAAGCTAGGTTAGATGTTGTAGGATACAAGCTTTGAGGCAGATAAAGAGAAAAATGGATAGGTGGTGCTTGCTTCTGAAAGTTATGAGCACCAAGCTGTGCACCAGAGGTGGCAGACAATATCACACTCACACCCTGTGGAACATTTTTCCAATATGAAAGGAGAAATGAAATATATATATATTTTCATGCAAAGTTTTCATGAATATGGCTAGATATTGAAGCTTGACTTTTGTGCCTAGGGCTTTGGTTTCCCCAGTTAAGTTTTAAGGAACACTAGTATCATTCTTGACACCTGAAGGTGTTCCTTGCTCAAGTGTGTATGTGTTGGGGTGGGGAGGAAGAGGAGATGCAGCTTTTAAATTTTGTTAAAAGCTCAGAAGAAAGATGGACCTGTAGCTTTATTTCACCCAAAATTTCTCAAATTTAACTTAACATGGAATCTGAGCCACGTATTTAACGTTTAATGGAATCCACACAATATACTGTGAAAATATACTGTGAAGTATGTTAGTCTAGAGAGAGAGTAAGAGAGAGAGAGAGAGGTGTCAAATGGGCTCATGAGGCAACTAAGATGCTAGGAAAGTGGGGTGTGTCATTGGAGTGAATTTATGTTTATTTAAATTACTTTTGGTCAAAGTAGAAAAATTTTTACAAAAATCTCAGAAAAACAAAATCTATCTGAATTCTTGCTGGATACACATGTTTGGTTGGCCATAGATTATGCCTTGATTCTGGAAAGAAGGACGAAAAATTTATAAGTGGTATAGTTAAAATTCTCAGTGCCCTTTCTAATAATGTCCCGATAAGTCATCATTCGTTTTTATTTGTGTCTTGCATATTATTTTTGCTTTCAGGCTGACAGTTGGAGTTTGGATCACTTAAAAACAAATCCCTTCCATGCTTTTCCCTCTTGTCTAGTCTTATTCTTTGCTGGAAAGGTGAGCAGCAGCCTCTGAAAAAAGAAAATGTTCTGCCTCATTTTCCCGAAGCAATCCCTAGTTAACTCTCTGCCTTTAGCAGAGGTAGGAGTATACATTGAGGTAAAAAACTGTAACTGTAACTACTCAGCTTCATCTTATGTAACATTACCATTTCCATAGGTATGTATAGCGGTTTTGAGAAATCAAAGCACTTGTACAACTATTTTATACTTGCGTTTTTAAAAAGTGCATATAGATTATGTTTACAAATACTATATACATACACACATATAAACTGATTAATTAGCATTTATTCTAGTTTAAATTCCAGGGAGCTAAAACAGGCAGGTATTATGTGTAACAGCAGTGAAGTGCAGTAACTCATTGAGTTTGGGAGCTAGAAATTGGGGTATATTAGGTTGTGCTGAGGAGCTACACTACTGAATCTCTAAGGTTTTGTCAACCTCAAAGATTTTTATGTTTCACAGGAGGAAAAAAAATGATTTCTTAAGGAAAAACAATAGCTTCTACATATAAGAAGTCAAGGCATAATAGAATTAGGACTGGAACTCTGGAATTCTGTTCTTAGTATGTGCTTGCTTCATTAAAGCACACTTTTTCATTTAATTTCTTACTTTGTGCCCCGTGTTTTGAAGACTGGGTAAACAAGAAAATGTTATTGTTTTAAGATTTCTGAATTCAAATGGAATGAGTAGTTAGCTAGTGACCAGAGGCTTCTGCACCAGCAGAGGCTTCTGCACCAGCAGAGACCACTGACACTGCCAAGTCCTGGAAGTATGACCCCCTTCTGCCTGAACAGATGGTAGATAGAAGCAACGTCTTGAAAAGCTGAAGAAAGCCAAACTAAAAATGGTCTCTGGAAGGGAGTTTCAGGATGTTGTGGGGCCATTCACTACATCTTGATGTCAGTTTATGATGTATTCTACTTTTTCTTTTGCCTTTCATTGCCTAGAACACTCTCCAATTTACTCCTGTTTTTGTTGTTGTTGTTTGAGACAGAGTCTTGCTCTGTTACCCAAGCTGGAGTGCAGTGGCACGATCTTGGCTCACTGCAAACTCCACCTCCCGGGTTCGAGCTATTCTCCTGCCTCGGCCTCCCAAGTAGCTGGGATTACAGGTGCCTGCCACCATGGAGAGCTAATTTTTGTATTTATAGTAGAGACGGGGCTTTGCCATGTTGGCTATGGTTATCCAGGCTGGTCTCAAACTCCTGACATCAGGTGATCTGCCCGCCTTGGCCACCCAAAGTGCTGAGATTACAGGCATGAGCCACGTGCCTGGCCTCCAATTTGCTCTTTGTGAGGCATCAGAAACATAGGAGAAAAGAAATTCAAATTTAGTAAACAGACTGGGAGAATACTAAGCTGCTCTGTATCTATTAATTTCTCTTGGTTACATACACTTTATTCCAGGAGATGAGAAGACTCAAGGAAATCTAGAGAACTTCCTGTTGTAGGAAAATGGTGTAGATACACTTTTCCCGATGCCTCCCACTAAGTACAACTAGACGCATTGGGCATTATATATAAAACAAACGTAGGAAGACTCTTTTGTTATAGTCCAACATGTCTTTCAGATTGTTTGCTTCTTCACTTTTTTTAGTTTATTTCCTCTCTCTGGTTCAGATTGGATAATTTCTAGTGATCTGTCTTCAGGTCACTGATTTTTCCCTCTGTTCTCTCCATTCTCCTATTGAACCCAGTCATTTTTATTTTGGTTACTGTATTTTCAGTTCTAAAATTTAACTTTCGCGTCTTTTAAAAATGTATCTTCTATTACTTTGTTTAGTCTTTTGATTTCTTTGCTGAGGCTCTCGATTTTTTTTCAGTTGTTTCCATCATTTTTTTCATTGCTTATTGAAGCATTTTTATGATATCTGCTTTAAAATCCTTGTTAGATAATTCTACTATTTTTTGATATCTTGGTGTTATATATTAATTGCCTTTTTTTTCTCCTTTGAGTTTCTTGTGATTTTTTGATATGATTCGTGATTTTCCGGTATGATTCGTGATTTTCCATTTAAACTTGGATATTTTCATATTGTGTTACAAGGCTCCTTTTCTTATTTTAACCTTCTGTTGCAGCTGGCTTTGTCCAATACTGCTTTGGCAGGGCAGGGAAGGCACTGCCTTATTATTGCTAGGAGGAGGTAGTAGTCCAGGGTCCTCACTCATCATCCATTGACATTTGTGGGTAGGGGAGCCTCCTTGTGGGCAATAGGGGAACTCCTGACTCTCCAGTAGGCCTCCTTTGATGCCACCCCAGTGGAAAGAAAGGGACTGGGGCTCCTTGTTAGTTTTGGGTGAGTATTGAAATCCAGGTTTTCCACGTAGTCTTTTCTGATACTTCATGGGTGGAGGTCTTGGTACTGGTCCACAGAGTTGAAAGTCCCAGCTCCCTCTTGACTATCTCTTGCATTACTGACAGGGGTGTTGGAACACCTTCCTAAAGCATCATGAGGGTGGAAGTCTAGGTTCCCCTCTCAACCTTTGCTAATATGAATGGGAGTTTGGTTATAGTGTTTTCTGTGATGTTTGACTGTGTAACTGGGGACCTCAGTTTTAAAAATATATTTTAATCACCTAGTTTCTTTTTCTTCCTTTCCTCCCCTTTCACTCCTTTGTTCCTTCCTTCTCCAGATACTCCCCTTTGGCAATGCATACTTATCTAATTATGTTCTTGCTTAAGAAATTCTGGAGGCTAATCTTGAAACAAATCACGCACGGAGCCCTGACTGCTGAATCCACTTGCTTAGGGAGAGTCACAATTAGTCCATCACCATGGGGTAGAAGTCAAGATAATGCCAACCAGACTTCCAGATGGGTAATTATCCAAGATAGCCAACAGAACTAAGTCACACAGCCCCGGCACCCTGCACCACTCCTGCATGTCTCCCAAACCAAGTTTCCCTTTAAAAAACCTATGATAAATTTTTAAATTTGAGGTGGTTCTTTAGAACACTAGCTCACCACCTTCTTGGTTTGCTAACTTTCCTATTAAACTTGAGTTTCCTCCTACCAACCCTTGTTTCTCATGTTTGGCTTTTGAGTGGTGAGTAGCTGAAATTGGTTCTGGTTACAACTGGAGTTGAGTTATTATCTTTTGAAAGTTGTCTGTCTTTGTAGGTTCTTGCTTTCCTGGTCCTTTGATTAAAGGCAGTGCAGGCTCTTTTGGGCTCTTTTTCTCTGCACTTGTTAGTGTTTCTTGGTTGCTAGCTACTTCATTTCTAAGTGAAGGATATAAGCAGCAAAAAAGACGACTCAGGGAAGTCACTACCGTGCTGTTCCTTATGTGCTGAGGGCTTTAGCACATTTTCTTCTTCTCTCCGTCTTTCAGAATTTTCTTTTATTTATTTTATATATAACATCCACAGTTCTTAGTTATAAATAGTGGTAAAAATAGAGAGAAAACGCTTCATCTTCTCAGAAATGTTATCTTCTATACTGATTCTTAATATGTTTGGATTTATGTCTTCCATCTTATTTGTGCTTTTTTTTTTTTAACCTGCTTTTTGGTGCTCCATGTTTCCCCTTTTCTCTATCCTTTAGCGTTTTCTTCTTTTTCTTACTTACTGTCACTGATTTAGTGTTATATATTCTCTCCGTAATAATTTAGTAAATATTGTTATTTCTGTTGGTTTAGTAACCCTTAAGTTTTTAACATGTATGCTTGACTTTTCAGATTAAACAATTTATATTGTTCCCTCTTCCAGAAAGACACAAAGATCTTAGAGTTTTAAAACAATTTTTAATAGCTCTCTCTTTCACTTAGAATAGATTATTTCCTTATGTGTTTTATAATTTTGGTTTATGAAATGATTTGTTGTTGAGATTGTCAAGGCTGTTTAGGTGGCTTCATTAGAGATGCTTGTGAGGTTTTGTATTTTATACTAAGCTTCCCAGAGTTGTCATTGGTCAAGCAGTATTTTTCATTAGCTTGGAAATAGGTGTTCTTGAGCCATTCAGGTATAAAAAATTTAAATCCCCAATGCATTTTTTATAAATTCTTAGTGAGGGGTGCTTTTTTCAACATACAAGCCAAGCCAAAATAAAATAAACAAACCATAGAAGACCACAAACACAAGTGAATATAAAACCAACCAAACTTCAGTGACTCTTCCTATTGTTGTGCCTGTTTTGTTTCCCTAGTATACCCACTTGCTAAGTCTATAGGTCTACAAAGGTTCATATTTTATATGGCAATTTCAGTTTTACTTCTCAACCTTGAAAGGGTCAAGACTTGTCTCTCACCTTTTCATGCGTGTTCATATCCTTGTTCCCAAACAGCTTCAGAACTTGACATCTCCTCATGCTACTTAGGGTAGTGAGTTACCTATTGCTGGAGATGTTCAAGCGTTGGTATAAGGGGTATGTCATTAGAATGTGTGATTCCTCAAGATGCCTTTAACTCTCGGATTATCAGATTCTGCAATAGTATTACCTAGCATTTCATTTCCATTGTCCTGTTTATGTGATATCATTATTCGTAAACATGGAGTATGGGTGGTCAGACGCCATACTAGGTGTTTGATGACACAGCACATAACATGATTTGGGTACAGAGCAAAGGACACAGTGATGAAGTATTACATGCCCATAAGAAGTAGAATATGGAAAATGATCACATCTTTTCATTGGAGATTATTATAAAAAATACTTTCAAGTCTTGGGCAAATAACTGACCCTGTTCTTTTAGAGATGATGATAAATATAGATGTTCTGTTCCTATCATTGATGATCCAATAAATAGAATCCCTAGACACTTTCAAAAGTACTGTGTGACAAACAGGATGTTATAGGCCACTGTGCCTTCTAGTGATGTGTGGAAAATTTGATAAAATGCACCAAATGTTCTGAAGACTAAAAGTACCATGTACCATAACTGATGAGTGATGATCCTAATGCTATGGAATGGCCACAGGAACAAGCTGCTTCCTCCTTTCGAACACAGTAATATTACTATTTCTTTATAAAAGACTTTAAGTTGCCTCATACAAACCTGGTTCTCATAAGGCTGAAGATTTTCTAGACTCAGTGCACCATCCACAGAGTATTTAGTCCACTCCCTTCCTCTTTTAAGTTAAAGGAAGCATGTTTTCTTTGTAAGCTGTGCCAGGAAAATGTCTCATCTCATACGGATATTATTTTAGCATATTAGGAAACCTAACTTCGTCCTTTGCTCACCTTCAGATTTATGGGTGTTGGTTAACTACTTTCATGAAAGAACAACATAGGCACAAAATGAGATGGAATAGAATAATCAACATTTTAATGTTACATTTGCCAGTGATCCTACTGGTTAAATGACCATTTATTTTGTCTGTGTGGTGTTTGAAGGGTTATACAAGTAGGAGTTAATTTGGTTGATCTAGTAATGTATTGTGCCTATGTATGTAAATGCTTTTCTGTTCTGCTTGAAAATGTAAGCAGTTGGCCATTCAGTGTGACTCATCAGGCTTTTAAAATTCGGGGTGAGAAGCATTAGTAAAATTGCTGTGAAAAATGATTCAGCTTGCACAGCTGGATCACCTTCCAAAATGCTATTCTCAAGTACATTTGTTCAGTAGGAGACTGTTGTGATCTGGTGCCTAACTTATCTCCCTCCTCCTTGGATTTACAGACCCAAGGCAATACTCACTTCCCTTGGAAAAATCCTGTGTTATGCTGGGTAAAGAGCAGATCAGAGGAGATGCTGCAGATGTTCACAGCTAACAATGTCAATGCCTAATTGGCTTTAAAAATTCCAGAAGAGAGGAAGAATGCCATTAAAAATAAATTTCGGCTGGGCATGATAGCTCATGCCTACAATCCCAGCACTTTGGAAAGCCAAGGATCACTTGAGTCCAGGAATTCAAGACTAACCTGGGCAACATAGCGAGACCTCCATCTCTACAAAATATATGAGAAAATTAGCCAGGCATGGTGAGTCACACCTGTAGTCCCAGCTACTCAGGAGGCTATGGTGAGAGGATCACTTGAACTTGTGAGGTCAAGGCTGCAGTAAGTTGTGATCACACCACTGCACTCCAGCCTGAGTGAAAGAGCGAGACCTTGTCTCAAGAAAATAAAAATAAGTGCAAAAATAATAAATTTCATGTATTATAATAAAGTATGATCCACAAATTTAGCAAACCTACAAAAAATATAAAATATTTTCTTTGATTATAGATCTTCTTTACACAAGATCAGGGGTACTATAAAAAATTAGCTCTACCTCTTAATCTAAACAAGTTTCTTTCTCTTGATGCTCACTAGCTCACTTTGGTTTACTGCTCCAGTTGGTAATTTTCCAGAAAGACAGAAAACACCCACTTTTATTTTTTTAACAGGGTCTCGCTCTGTTGCCCAGGTTGGAGTGCAGTGGCATGATCTCGGCTCACTGCAACCTCTGCTTCCTGGGTTTAAGTGATTCTCCTGCCTCAGTATCCCCAAGTAGCTGGGACTACAGGATGCACCATCATGCCTGGCTGATTTTTGTATTTTTCGTAGAGATGGGATTTCACCATTTTGGCCAAGCTGGTCTCAAACTCCTGACCTCAAATGATCCACCCACCTCGACCTACCAAAGTGCTGGATTACATAGGCGTGAGCCACCGCAGCTGCCAACACCCATTTTTTTTTTTTAAGTCTAATTTTTGGATCTGAATGCATCTTCAAATAGGAAACACTGTTAGGCCAAATGGCCACATTTAAGCTCCATTCCGAGTCCCTAAAATGAAAAAGATAAAATATTTTAGAAGTACATATTGGAGGCTACATGAATTTTTTTCTGCTGCCTCATCTCAAAATAGTTCCATGTGTTGGCAAGTCCAGAGAAGAGAAACTGAAGTGTGCTCAGTTCAATCTCACATCCAGAAAATACTGAATTATGTTTGCAGACTCTAAGTTTTCTATTTTCTGGGAGACTTGTACAGAAAATGATTTAATGTTGTGTTTGAATATAGCCAAATAACACCATGGCATTTAATAATTGTTCATAAAAACAAACTTTATTGCACATTTAGGATCACTAAATTGACCAAATTCTCCATCCTTTAAGATGAGAGATTTTCAGAGCTTGATGTGAATGAACAAAACCTGTTGCCTTATAAGTTGAATCTTCACCACATTTCACATTGCCCTTCCCTAACTTTTACTGGGCCCTAAGAAAATACATAAATATAAAGAGAAGATTTAGAAAAAGTGAGAAAAAGATTTGGAGAAAAGGAGATAAAAAGTTGACAAGAAGAAAGAGAGACTGAACGCAGAAATGGGTAACAACCAGGTCCTGTAAAAAAATGACCTGAAGCAACCTGATCAGGAAATGAAACCTCCTTATCTTCAGTCAACGGCCCAACAAGCCAGCATGCTGTAAGTCAGATTTACAGGAAGCCAGATTGCTCTCTCTAGTAACAATCCAGGAAGCTGCACAGTAACTTCTGTAACAATTGACCCACGATGGCCAGGGCTTGATTAATAACTGACAGTTTTCCTACTTCTTGTCTCTACTTCCAACCTAGGGCCAACCAGAGAAAGCCAAATATGCACCCTTAACCAATGAAATAGGATGCCCTGTTTCTGATAAGCCCACCCACAGCTCTCCCATGCCAATAGCCTCCAATCAGCGCACATCTGAAGCCTACCTATCCTCACCCATCATGAAGCTTCACCACTGCTTCGTCTACTTTGAGTCGCTGCTTAAACACAAGTGACGGTGGTTGACTCCTTTGGCATAGCAAGCTCTGAAAAAAATAGACTTTGCTTTTCTCATTGGGACTTCATTTATTCCTGTGGGAGAAAAAGAGAAATTAAAAGAAAAAGCAGGCTTATAAAACAATAAAAAATGAAATTAGCATGTCTTGTCATTCCTCATATCATGATTGCCACAGACACACACTCAACCTCTCAGAAATGAGGGTTTGTAGTGAGATTACGAAGTTCAGTTTCCTTTTGTTATATCCTCTACCTAAGCTTCCTAATAATTTATATAATGAAATCTTCAGAATTCATCATTTTTTGGGGCAGGGGAGACAGGGTCCCACTGTGTTGCCCAGGTTGAAGTGCAGTGGTGCA
Organism: Homo sapiens; assembly: GCF_000001405.40. Lineage (NCBI taxonomy): Eukaryota > Metazoa > Chordata > Mammalia > Primates > Hominidae > Homo > Homo sapiens. The sequence continues at coordinate 35,117,849 of NC_000008.11, read as the reverse complement.
ATAGTAGCTCACTGCAGCCTACCTCCTAGGCTCAAGTGATCCTACTGCCTCAGCTCCAGAACAGCTGTGACTACAGGTACATGCCATCACATGTGGCTAATTCTTAAATGTTTTTGTAGAGTTGGGGTTTCACTATATTGCCCAGGCTAGTCTCAAACTCCTGGGCTCAAACAATCCTCCAGCCTTGGCCTCCCAAAGTGCTGGGATTACAGAAATAAGCCATCATGCCCAGCCTCATCATTCTTTTCTAAATGAATGTTTACTCAGTATCTGCACAATGCTAGGATCTAGGGCTATGATGATATGGACCCTGCCCTGAAGAAGCTTAGATTCCAATGGAGAGACCAACATTTAAATCAACAGTAAGTTGGCCAAGCATGGTGGCATGCACATGTGGTCCCAACTATTCTGGAGGCTGAGGCAGGAGGATTGTTTGAGCCCAGGAGGTCGGCTGCAGTGAGCTATAATGGAAGAAAATATTTGCAAACTATGCATTCAGCAAAGGACTAATATCTAGAATCCATAAAAACTTAATTCAACAAAGAAAAAACAACCCCATTAAAATGTGGGCAAATGACATGAACAGATATTTCTCAAAAGAAGACATGCCAGTGGCCAACAAACATACGAAAAAATGTTCGGCATCACTAATCATCAGAGACATGCAAATCAAAGCCACAATGACACACCATCTCACATCAGTCAAAATGGCTATTATTAAGTGAAAATAAAAAAGAAAAAATCAACAGATGCTGGCTAGGCTTAGGAGAAAAGGGAAAACTTATACACTGTTGGTGGGAATTTAAATTAGTTCAGTCGTTGTGGAAAGCAGCGTGGAGACTTCTCAAAGAACTTAAAATAGAACTACCATTCAACCCAGCAATCCCATTACTGAGTATGTATCTGAAATAAAGTAGATCATTCTACCAAAAAGACACATTCACTCGTATGTTTATTGAAGCACTATTTATCTCAGCAAAAACACGGAATCAATCCCGGTGCTTATACACATGGATTGGATAAACAAAATGTGGTACATGTATACCATGGAGCTGCAGCTATAAAAAAAAGAATGGACTAATGTTCTTTGCAGCAACATGGATGCAGTGAAAGGCTATTATCCTAAGCAAATAAAAGCAGGAAAAACAAAACGAAATACTGCTTATAAGCAGTATTCTCACTTATAAGTGGAAGTGGGTCCTCATGGACATAAAGATGGGAGCAATAGACACTGAGGGCTACTAGAGGGCAGAGGGAGCGGGGCAAGGGATGAAAAACTAACTATTGGATACTATGTTCACTTTCTGTGTGCTGGGATCCTTCATATCCCAAACCTCAGCCTCATGTGGTACACCCATGTAACAAACCTGCACATGTACCCCTTGAATGTAAAATAAAAGTTGAAATTATAAAAACAGACAAAGAACAGAGTTTCCTACAACCTGTCTGGAGTCTCAGTGCAAGTTTTCATGCAACAAGTGGAAGCTGTTCTGTGGTGGGCTCAAGCAGTCACCAGACCATTGGCAGTTGCTACAGAGCCTTACAAAGATAGTTCCTTTTGAGTTCCCTCCTACTCATCAGACCTTTGCCTTCCCTCTAATGGTGACTTGGAATATCACGCATAGGCCTGTGCTTCCTCTACCTATAGCTCCAGTTACAAATTCTCACTGGATAATCCCCTGCCTTTTAAGACAAATAATAAACTTGGAGGAAACAAATCAGAGCTCTTGATAACCCCACAAGCCTGCCCCATCCTCTGCTTTTTCTATTTTCCTGTTTCATAGGCAATGAAATCTAAGGTCTGAGAGGTTAGTAAACAAGTCCAAATTAGCTCTGCTGGTCATGGACCTAGTATTGGGAAAGGCAGGGTATGAATCAAAGCTGTTCCAAGGCTAGATTCTTAACCAGTGATCTACTACCCTTTTTTCACTTTAAATTATATTAATTTGATTTTCTAAATAACTATATGAAGCAATTTTTTTTTCAGAATATTTTTAATCTGAGAAAGATGGAGTGAGTTGCCCAGTGTCACAAGGCTATTAATTTGTGGATCTGGAATTTGGGTTTGGGGTTGCCTGTATCTTGCTTGCATGAAGGTTATTTATTTGAGATTCCCTCTCTCCCAGAGTTACAAGTTCCTTGACGGTGATATCAATACTTCATTCAATTAATATTTCTTCAGTCCTAGCATAATTTTTATGCATAGTAGATGTTCAATAAATATTTATTTTTAAAATACCTATTTTTGTCCTTGCAATAGTTTGCTGAGAATGGTGGTTTCCAGCTTCATCCATGTCCCTACAAAGGACATGAACTCATAATTTTTTAATGACTGTACTTAAAGTATAATAAAAAATATATATAGAAATAAAATACCTATTTTTAAAATAAAGTTTATGGAAAACTTTCTTTTAAACTATGAGACATGTCTAAAGCTGAAAAAATTAGGACAACAAAATAAATAACAGCATGTATCATATTCCAATATCTCATAAATATTCATGAAATTTCATACTGTTATACAGAAATGAGCAAATAAATAAATTAATGGGGCAGAATGGACAAACCTCCCACACAAAATTTCACATAGTCCATACATATATTTTGCTCTCAAGGAAAAGGAGCAAAACTCCTCATTCTGTAAGTATGGGCTGAACGCAGTGACTTCCTTCCAAAGATTTTAGTATGGAAGGGATGACAAAGAATTGATTTACAATAGAAAACATGACAAACACTACCACAGTCAGGTGATCGAGGTTGCAGTCAATAACAATAAGTCATGTTGATAGTATTACCCTTGATATGATGTGATCGAAATGTCAATGTACGTCTTTGGTCTTCTCCCAAGCCCATAACTCCATCAGAAAAATGTGAGACAAATTCCAACTGAAACACATTCTACAAAATACCTGGCCAATGCTCCCCAAAGTGGTTAAGACAATCAAAAACAACAACAAATCTAAAAATATGTGCCAGCCAAAAGAAGCCTCAGGAGACACAACTACTATATGCAGTGTGTTGTCCTAGAAGGAATACTGGATCAGAAAAAAGATACTAGAAAAAAACTGAGGAAATGTGAATGAAGTACAGACTTGAGAATATTCATTTAGATTAATATCAATTATTGGTTTAGTATAATTTCTATTAATATTTGTTTAATAATATACATCAGTTTATTAATTGTGCCAAATATAACCTACTAAAGTAAGCTGTTAAAAATAGGGAAAACTGGGTGTGGGGTACATGGGAACTCACTACCCTATCTTTATAATTTTTCTGTAAATCTAAAACTATTATGTTTATTTTTTTAAAAATGACCTGAGGTTTTTATGCATCTAAATTGATTTATTTTCACGATCATTTTTTAAATATCGGATGTCTTGCTTCCCAAGACCAGAAGCCCCCCATAGTCTAATGCTGTCCTACCCACCCTTCCTTCTTGATTCTAGATGTCCAAAATGTTCAGGTGTAGGAGGAGTGATAATGAAAGAAAAATGGTTAAAAGCTGGCTCCTATGAAACTTAGCACTTGAGAAGACTTTAGGGCTTCCAGGACCCTTTTGAATGTTATGTCTTTCCAACTCTAAGTCTAAATATATTCTTCAATTTCAATTGCATTTTATTTCAGGGCTTGGAAAGGAGAATCGTAGGATATTGTCCAAAGCATGATAAAGTTAAGGAGGAGAAATGATAACTAGAAATTAAAAGAGAAATCGTATGTATGTTTTTAAAGGTGAACAGAAATTCTACCAGGCCCCTTTTCCTATTGGCAGTGCCCAGGTAAAGTCAGAGTTAGCACATCCTCAGATAGAATGGGAGGTCAGAAACATCATAAAATACCCTCGCTTCACTGACAGAGTGCTACTGTTATTGGTCAACCTGAAAATCACCTTCATTTGTTTACTGATCACACCTAGGTGAAATGAGAATGTCTGAAAACTGGGGCTGCACACAGTGACAGCTGTGGACAAAGGGTTTCACCCACATCCACTCACAGTAGCCTACCACTTCTATGTGAGCACCATATTAAGGCATAACAACTGGATCATGCAACTGTGGTCACTACCCTGTCTCAGCTTTAGCTAAGCACATATTTATTCACATTCCTTTTCCACAACAGTTCAATTAAAGACCTGTGGTCACTTACTGGCTTTGCGTCTTGTTTAAAGAAGAATATAAATTCTCCTCTACCACCACACTTGCTTAAAAGAATAGCAGTAACATTGCACCTCAGCAATCTGACTTCTAACTTCTCTGTTACATGAGGGATGATAGGACTTCTTGGAGATATCAGCTATCCACATGTGTTTGAGACCATTGGTTAAGACTGGGACTATAAATGAATGGATTGACCTACTCAGAGAAAATATTGGCCATTTGTGACCTGGGGTTTCTCAGTGGTATGTACAAAGATCTGCTTGTATATTTCACTTATAAAGTAGTAAAAATAATCTCCTTGTTTGATTTATGTTAATCTGTTGCATTTTGTTATAATTCTTCCACATCGATAGCCTGACTCAAACTAGTCCTTGTCCAGCTGGATAGTGGTTGCCTCTGAGAGCTCCTCCACAGTTCGTCTTAGATTCCCTTGGAATTTGCAAGGGAAGTTCTGGTATGCATGGAAGAGGGAGCTTGTGTTTATCCTATACTTCAGACATGGGAATGGCTAGCTTCGATTCTTGCCACTGGATGGGTACTGTGTTAATAGAAGCACAAAATGCCTGATTTTATTTTCTCAGAACCATATCTTAAGCATGTCATTTTCTTTGTCTATAATTAGAGGATAATACCTCTCTTCCTTATCTCACAGGGCTGTACTAAGACCCAAATAAGATAATGTGTGTTAAAAAACTGGAAATTATAAAGTGTCAAATTATAGGAGAAGATAGGGGAGAAGTACCTTTAAAAAACACCTACTAGCCCATGCTGTACAAATATAATCTCATTTAAGTTTTACAATAACCCTTTTAGGAAAGGAGATTCAGATAACCTGAGTAATTTCTCAAGCAGGCAGTGACCAGCACATTACTCCTACGCTGTTTAAATCCCAATGCCCTTTATCTTTTACATAAAGATGAGATGCAGTGTCATTAAAAAAAAAAAAAAAAAAAAAAGAATGTGTCTGGCTCTTTTCGACACTTTGTACCTTTTCCAGATGTATCTTGACAAAAAGAGAAGAATAAGAGACAATGCCAATTCTTCTACCATCTCTGAATCAACAGAGTGAAGTCTAAATAGTGCTAGCTGGAGAAAGTTGAAAAAAAAATTCTGTGGTTCTCTTGGCTACTTATGTGTCATCAATCAAGTCACTCAGAGTTTCCTAACTTCTATCTTCCAATTGTAGTTAGAACTGAAAATAGAAAGATAATTAAGGGACTGCTTCTGCCTACCATTAGAGACATGAGCATGCAACCAATCATTTAACACAATCATGATACTCTTCTATAGATGTGTATTGTCTGAACAAAGTGCTATGGACCTGCAGTCTGTGAATTAATGCTTTGGAGTATATAGAGGTTCCTTAAGTGGAAAAAAAGAGCTGAAAGGCCAAATAAAGGTAGGAAAAACAGAGTCATTAAAAAATGTATATTTAGAGAGCAGTGATACTTCCCTCTGGAATCCATTTTCTTCATTTGTAAAATGAAGAAATGAAACGCCTTCATCTCTAAATACCCATTATGCTTTCATATTTCAGGATTTTGTTGTTGTCTTTTTTGACTTTTGTTTCTAATATTCTACATATGGTGTTAGAGAAAGTCAACTGCATGAAGTAGCCCAGAATTCTACAAAAACAATACAATTAAATTTTAATACGGGCAATTTACTGACAGGCTTATCCACTCTGACCAGTGAGCTTTTGAAAAACATTAAAAACCAGGCTCCGTGAAGGCTAAGACTTTCCTTAACAAGGAGCAATTGCCTCCCTGAGCACATTTGGTTCTCCTATAGACGTTAACACAACAGGAGCCTCTATTTCTACTGAGTTTTAAAAGGGTTAAGTGTCAGACATGATATATTACTGTGAAATGTCATCTAAAATAAATGAGGCTACTGCCCTTAGAGAAAGGATCATTGTTGGCCATCAAAGAAATAGCACTGACATTCAGTCATCTCACTACGCTTTAGGGTGAAGGATCACTTTAGGCAAATAGCAGGCAACTTGTAAGTACTTATTTTAAGAAATTGCTCCCCTAGGTCCTAACAAATACCTTCTATAAATGTTGGCAAAACAGTTAATCAACTCAAAAGCTAAAAATATTTCCTGATTTGATTTATTTTAGATTCCAAAGGAAAGAAACATATAGGAGTTAATGGTTAATGAAGAGAGAAAAATCTCTCTTAATTCACAGAAGCAGTCATGGATTGCAAGCTTAACTAAACACAAGGCCCAATTTTTAAAAGGAAACTTCCTCACTTTACTGGGGTAGTTGTGAGTTTCATACATGGTTTGGCTCCCCTAAATACTATACTGGGGGGGCTTTGTTTAGTAGATTGAGGGTTTTATTAAACCGTTTTGGAAAACAGATACATTAAGTGAAATGTTGCACATAATGTAATAGTTCCCATCATCCATTTTACCAAGAAACATAAAAGACCAATTTTGTATTTGATTTTTTGCAGTATGTCTATTTTTTTTCTTGTGCACCAAGGTGCAAATTTTGATTGCAAATAGAGTATGGCTGGTAGGAAGCAAAATCAGCCACATTATATACAGTTGCTTGGCAATTGATTGAACTATCACAAGGTTCTTCTTGGGACTTATATCATGCGCTCCTTAAAAGTGGGATTGTAGGGGACTTGATAGGAATAATAACAAAAATATACAAATTGTTTTGGTATGCCTAACAGCCTTAAAGAATGGCATCAATCAAAGACACTCTAGGATTTCTAAACCATAACAGAGAGAGATTAAACCTACTCTTTTGAGATTGCAGATCCCAATCAGGATATTAATCACCTTATCTTTCTTAATAATATTCAATAGCTCATAGGAAATGAGTGATATTCTGACCATTAGAATGGACATATCTAAGAGGTTAGGAAACTTCACTTTCCTAGAAACTTGTTCTTAACTTTCTCTCTACTCATGGAAATGAGCCTTGCTTCCCAGTGTAGGGACAGCCAGTCCAGGCATGGAGATGAATGTATTAAGGGCCTGTGGCGGACTCTCCTGGGCTTTCTCTCCACCCTTTGTTCTGCAGCTCTTTGAACCTAAGTCCAAATTGGTAATTAAGCAGAACCCAGGTCAGGGTTATTCCTAAGTAATGGGACCTGCAAACCTAGTGACTCTAGGAGAACATTTCCCAAAGTGTGGTCTTTGGAACAGCTACATAGGGATCAACTGAGTCAAAGTTGCTCAGAAATTAGATTTGAGTCAAATTTGCTCAAAAATTAGATTTCTAGACCCCACCCGGAACTACCAGAACAATCCCAGAAATTTGTATATAAGTTTTATCTTTCCAAGTCATCCTTAAATTCACTGAATGTAGGTCAATGACAAAAGAACCTAATAGATAAGAAAATTGTAGATTATAAAATTGCTCGGTATAATATACCTGCTCCCCTCACTGTGAAATTGACAGACAACCCTCTAAAATTGCCAGGAAAAAAAGCCAAGTTGATGAATAGGGACCATTACTGAGTAGTTAAAGCTTCACAACAGGGGCCACAGCACTTAGAAAATCCCCAGATTTAGAGTACAAAATATATGGATCTTGGAGCTAGACCTCTAAGGTACAAAGAAAGTGACACGTTGTTGCACAAGTAGCTTGTTCATAATTCCAGTGTCTAATTTTTTTAAAAAGCATTTTGACTTCACTGGTAAAAGGAAAAATGAATCCTATTTCTTTGTAGCCCTCATCTGTGAAGAAGTTGTATAGACATATTCTTTAACATTATCCCCTTTATCCCAAGCTGGATACCAGACTTTATGTTCACCTGTTAATAGTAAGGTACTCTCAACAACCTGCAATGATTTTGACTCATCCACCTATCACTTCTAGACCTAAGTGCCAGAGCAATTGCAATCATTTCTCCCTGCAGGGTTGCTGATTTGTTTCCTGCTGCCTAGAATGTAGGACATTTTGTTTTACCCTTATGAAAAATCGGGACCCAGAAGCACTGCCAACCCTCAACATGTAGCTACTAGACATTTGCCATGTCCTCGTGTAACCATTTACTCCAGGTGATTTTCTTTCTACGTCCTTATTACTTTTGGCCCTTTAAATCCAGTCATTTTTATTTTACCTCTTACATAACCCAAGGTAATAGACACCAGCAGGTACTGTGAGTCATGCTAAGTGTTTCCCGCAAAGGAACAGAGTATGATGGAGATAACAAAAGGTGCCTTGTTTAGCACGGTGGATAAAAATCAGCCACACTTCACTATATCTCCAATGCCTCTTGTCAAGGGGGAGGAAATTAGAAGCATGACTTGTGGTGTATCTTTATAGAAATCTGTTCAGGTAGCAGAAAGCTTAATCTGTGCCATTTCTGGTAATGAAGTGCTAGAGACTAATTCAATTGTTGGATACAGCTGATTATAAAATTATAATAACTCATCAATTTATTTATTATTTAATCTTTGCCAGTCACTATGGCACTCAGAGTTTATTAACAGTAGGAAAAAATTATAGTTTAAAACATCTAAATCTATTATCTCCCAGGGAAAATAGAAACTTGCTGAACCTAGTCACTCAGCAAATGATTAGTGCACATAAGCTGTTGTCTTACTTTATAAACTCTCACTTAAGGGGCCAAAAGGCAAAAGCAAAAGCACTCCTTTCTCCTCCACCATACTTACCTTTCATATTCCTCTCCACAACATTGCTCTAAGTAAGGATTTCAGCAAACTTCTCAGGCAATTAGTGCAAGATTCTGATCTCTGTACTCTAGTCCCTGGTATTCCTGATACTCCCTCATATTCCCAATGCTTTCTCAGACTTCCGTCTCTGGGTGTTTTTGGCTTTGAAATTCCTCAGACCTACCATGGTCCACTTTCAAGAGCACTCGCTCTGGTGCTAGACTTCATAGGTTTGAATGCTGGCTGTGCCACTTACTAGCTATGTGATTTTTGGCAGGTGATTTATCCTTTATGCGCCTTGGTTTATTTATTTGTAAATTGGGGATAATATCTTGAGCAATTGTGACAACTGAAAAAATGTATACATATATATGTATATAAATACTTCCAAGCACTATATATATAGATAAAAAGAGAGAGACAGAGAACTGAAAATGGTGTCTGAAACATAGTAAGTGCTCAAAACTGTTACTTTGTATTGTAATTATGATCATACAGGTATGTTCCTAAGGTCTCGATCAGGGATATTTGGTTATAAAGGGATATAAAGCCATAGAAAATACCTTAAGCAAAGCAAACACAAAAAAATTACATTTTTCTAAAGTTAAAGCACTATTCTATGGACCTTAGAGAGGGAAGTGCAGCTAGTTTCCTGGGCATATCTGTGTCAAAGCTCAGTAAGCCCTGAGGATTTTTAAGGCAGATACTCTCTCTTCCTTTGAGGTCACATGTTCCCTGCATTTGGTCCAGTCAACTGTGGCCAAAGGTCCAAAATCATGAATTCTGCTTGTTCACTTAGTAATTGTTGTGGGAACATACTATATGAGAAAAACGTGAATGGGCCTAGAGAGAACGTATAGATTGATTATTTTGTCTGCTAACCATAGCATGAAGCCATGCTGGAAAAATTCCCATGATGCCTTGGCAGGCTACTAGTGAAAATCTCCTTCTATCCACAGATAAAGTTCACATAAAGAAAACAGAAAACATCAGTAGTAAGATGCGTCTTCAGGAACATCCTAAAGCATAGACCCAAACAACTATCTCAGACTTACTAATTTTGAGTAAATTTGGGGTAATTTTGTCACATAGATGGATGAGAAATCCAAGCTTTTTGCATGTGAATTTTATTTTTGCAGTCTTTTCCTAATTCTCTTTTTGAAATAACACTGCTAGAAGTCTTTTCTTAAATATAGCATGGAGCAACAGGCTGGGTAAGAATTATATTTTAATGTTTTATAATATATAATTTAATACAACAGAGTTCCATATTGGATAAATGACTTTTAGACTCTACATATACTTCCAGACCAGAATAAAAGAAAAAAACTAAACAAAACAAAGCAACAGAAAAACTCAACTCCACAAAGAATAAAACCAGAATTTGAAATTATATAAAGAGAATTAAATCCATGGATACTCTGATTAAACTTCATGACTCTTAAATATTCTTTGTTTATAACCATTTAAAAAGCAACAGATTCCCCTTAGCTAAAATTTAAGCCAAAACAAGAGCAACTGTCTGTTATTGCAAACATTGTAATATTGTGTTAATACAATAATGCCTAGCTAATTGAATTATTACTGGCTATTACTGGCTATTAATAGCCAGTAACGATTTTCCACTTAAAGTGGGAAAAAATGGAATTTATATGCCACGTTTCCATCTGCAGTATTTCATCTATTTATTATTAACAAGTTTTTGCATCAGTGGACATAGAAGGGTTCCACTTATCTCATCCCCTGAAATTCTGCAGGGCTATAGGACTTGTTTAGCCTACATAACATGAGCAGTAGTACTGCATGTCATTTTGTGTGTGTGTGTGAAGCATTTTATTTTCAGTGCTTGACTCTGGTCCACCTAAAGATCTTGACAGAGTCTGCTGATGTGGACACACCATGAGATCAGAGCAGCCTGTAATGCTGAAGTTTCACGTGGAAGAGGGTACGCTGAGATTCATTCAGGCTTACAGTGGACTTTGTGAGAATGAGTAACTTTTATTTGGTATAAATTGCAATCTCGATTTCATCTGCCACACATTTCAGAACTAAATAGACTTCTGAACCCATAGAGGTTGGGGAAATCCTGACACTTTGAAGTTTTGTGGGAAAAGGAGAGACTAGGAAAGATGAATTTCATAGCAAACTCATATCTTCTTTCATGACTTGAGGAATAAGTGTAGCATGATATCCTCATTTCACATACAAATGACTTATGACCCACAAACAGGGACTGATTTTATCAAGTTCAAATATTTTGTCAGCAGCAAAGTCTGTTAATGTTTTATAGACAATTCCATAGGGACAGAATTTGAGAAATGCATGAAAAAAAAAACAGGCTACAAGGAAAACTCCATAGCTGTTTGCAATTTTAATAAAATAACATTTTGATTAAAATTGCCAGTGGAAATGTGAGTATCCTGAATTCAAATTCAAAGGTTCACCCCGTGATTCTACTTGAGAAAAGAAATGAGTCTAATGCAATATTACTAGCACACAGTCCCAGCTTAAGTTTACCTTACCACCCACCCTACTGCCAACCCTACTACCAAGAGACACAGGGAGATTCAAGCTCTCTGCCTTCTTGTGTGACTTATACCTAAAAAAAAAAAAATAATAATAATAATAGAAGAAAATAAGCGAAGCGATAAAGAATAAAGAGAAGAAAGCTAGTCAATAATAGAACTTAGGCTAAAATATGAGTCTTTTGATTGACAGTTAATTAGGGGCAGTATGGTTAAAAGACATAAATTCTATTCCCAAATCCAGTAAGATAGGACGTTATTTAACTTCATTAGACTCAGTTTTCTTACTGACTGAATTGAATTCTAAATTTCTTTCTCACTCTAATTTTAACCTTTTTTAATATTAAATTCTTATCTGTACATAGTAGTGCCAAAATGTAGGAATTTAGCAAAGATGAGTAGAGCTAAGCTATCTAATTCTTAAACGTCTCTAGCATACATTTTCTAAGGTGCTGTTGGTTTCTTTCCTTGATGCCAATTGTCAACACTTACCATGTCAGGAGCAAATCCTTTCTTTCCTGACTTCTTCATTCCCACTTTTTTCAGGTTAATCTTTTCCTGCTTTATGAGCTTCCCATATTTTCTCTCTCTTCTGCTACTGCTTTAATTGTCTTATATGGAAATTTTAAGCAAGAAAATTTCCTTATGATTTGAAAATATTCTATTAATGCTGTTTCCCTCTCCTCACTTTAATTGAAAATTGGATTTCCCCAGTTACATTACTTTTCCTGAATTATTTACCAATAAAGGCTTCTATATTACCTCTCCTTAACAACTCTTGAGATGAGTTGATGAAATCAGACTTTTTAAAAAACCTCTCTCGGCTGGACGCGGTGATTCATGCCTGTAATCCCAGCACTTTGGGAGGCTGAGGTGGGCAGATCACGAGGTCAGGAGCTCGAGACCAGCCTGGCCAACATGGTGAAAGCCGGTCTCTATTAAAAATACAAAAATTAGCTGGGTGTGGTGGTGTGTGCCTGTAATCCCAGCTACCCAGGAGGCTGAGGCAGGAGAATTGCTTGAACTCGTGAGGCAGAGGTTGCAGTGAGCCAAAATTTTGCCACTGCACTCCTGCCTGGCAACAGAGCTAGACTCTGTCAAACAAACAAACAAACCAACAACCAAAAAAAACCACCTCTCTCATGCTGTAGCTACTTCCAGAGTGTGTTTCACTCCATAATTTGTTTAGCTTTGAAGTTCATGGCATTTGCTTTAGCATCCTTTAGTGACCTTGTTCACCATATTTATCTCTACATCCAGCATTCCTGTTTTCCTCAATGAATACAGCACTTTTCTTACAATTTTGCTTTGTATTTTGTTTTTGCTATTATCTTCACCTTTACATTCCTTCCTTTTCAGCCACATAATGGTGAAGATGCCCGAAAGACCTCATTATCATTCCGTTTGGAATCGCTGTGATGCTTTTTTTTCTTTTTCTTAAAAAAAAATTACCTTTTACCAGGTCCTTCTTCTAATATCTTATTCTTGCCCATGTGCTTTTACTGTCTTCGCAGCCTCTAATCCCTGAAACTCTCCCCTTTCTATAGTCCACCAACTGTGTCTCGATCACTTGCCTTCCTGCAAAGTTTGGGACTCCTGCTCAGACAAGGCAGTGATGCCTCATCAACATCCTAGAATCCGCCACTGCCACTCCCAACCTTCTGCCAAGCCTACTGTATAGATCCCTAACCCTGGATAACCCCGTCAAGCCCTGTCACTGCTCTTCTTGCTGGACTATTAGCAGGAGCTGAAGAAAGTCACAAAGCTAAGATAATTGGGCCCACTGCCATTTCATGCTAGGTAAACTCAGAACTTCCCCGCTGCTCAGCAATCCTCTGATTTATCTATTTCTATATCTATGGGGGATGCAGGAAAGTCTCCCACACAGCAGCCATTCTACATTACTCCACTTTATTAACATCCTCACATCCCTGTCCCTATGTATATCATCTGAAGGTCCTAACCACACCTATTATTCTGGGCAGGATTAAAATGGAAAACTTCTGATTTGAGTTTTTCTACTTTCTTCAACATTTCAAAATTTATCAGAGGTCTTCCTCTCCCCCTCTTTGCCTATCCTAGCATTCCATAAAATTGCATCCCTCATCTTTGCAGTTTTCTCCTGTGCACCTGTTTATAACCTCTTCTTTTTCTGTAGGACCGGCTCCCATAGATTAACTCTGTCCTTTCGTATTTTAAAAATCTTCCTATGTACAATTTTTCTTCTTTCCCTATGTCAGTGAGCAAATTTCTATTCTACAATTCTAGAAAAACTATTTTTTCCTAGTGACTGTCCTCCTAGAATGACCAAATCATTTCTTTCTAATTTTACATTTGAGTAAAATTATAGTCTTTTTTTTTAAACCTCTGTCTGGCATTCAACGTCTTGGTCCTTGATATTTACCCTTTCTTTGGATGTCCTCCTTGAATTTGTAGTAAGTCAGGGAAAATATTTGAATATCAAAGTGGTCCATATGATACTTGGAGCTAATATTGACCAGAGTGTCATAGCCTGTAGATAACTGGGTGTAAAAAATTCACGGAACATTTAAGGCAAGCTGATAGGGAAGATAAATAAGGCAGGAATGGGCAGGGCTAACAATTAATGAAAGGGATGACCCCAAGATGGGTCACCAAGCAGCCAACCCACAATGTTCAAATGTTTGGAAAACACATAAATTGTGGACCAGTGCCCAAGGAAATCCAAAATGGTCTCTGGTGTGATAGCAAGAGTATTCTGGGCAGTAACAGAAATTGGCCCTGGAACCAAACAATAACTAGGTGTGTGACCGCATTAGTAAGAAAGCTGGTAGTTATTCTCCCATTTTACATATAAATTCATGAAGGTCTATGTGATTTTTAGATTTCTATTTTCATGAGCTTGTAAAATTTTGGTCAGTATTTATCCATGTAGTCCCTTGATTTAAGGTATAGAGCAGGGTTCAGTGAATATTCACTGAAGTGAATTGAAATATAATTAGATAATCCAAAAATCAAACCTTAGGACTCAACAACTCAATGACTATACAAGTTCTCAAAGTTGACACCAACTTTAATGGTGGAAAGAGAAATTGCAGGTACTGTGTCTTGTTGGTAGATGGTATGTCCTGATACATACCCAACTCTCATGGTCATGAATGACTCACAGCTAAGGCCTCAAGTGATGCTGTTAGTGTATGAGGCTGAGAATATCTGGTGAAGGCAAGAGGCCAGTGCTCACTCCCATTTGGTAAGCTCCTTTTTCTTCCATAGAAGACTTAGTTTCTTTACTCTTGGGTGTATATGTATAGCATATTCTATTTTCAGCTGAAGTCATCTGATATTGCTTATTACTTACACATCTCAGATTGTCTTTGTAATTTATAGTCATAACTCTTACTGTGGTCTATATGATACATCCCTATAATCTACTGATGCACCTAGAAACATGCACATACCATAAAATGAACTTGTAAATGACAGAAAAGTGTTCAAGATTCACTTTGTAAAGAGGGTGGTAAAAGTGTCTCATAGAAGTCCTCTGGTGAAGGGTGATTTCTGATATATGGCAGTAAAAGCCTGGTCCCAAGCACGAGGAATTTGTCAATGAAATAACATCATCAATAATGACAGAAAAGCTGTCTGCTTTACTGACATAGAGTCCTCACCCAAACACAGGGCTATGGTTCATGAATGTGAGACTTTGTGAGGCTCAATAAAAAAATATAAAGCAAAGTGGGTGGTTTGGTGGACATAGAAGTTCAGCTGGTGATTTTCCCTTTCTCAAGAACGTATACCAATTGACATTGTGTTTTATGTTTCAGGTGGACATTTAGTCTTTCATATATTTTTATAGTTTTATTGAGGTATAATTGACATTTGATAAATTGCCTGTACTTAAAGTGTACCATATGATGAGTTTTGACATATGTATACAGATTGCAATCAAGAAGATGGACATATCTATAAACCTCTAAAATTTTCTTATGCCTCTTGTCATCCCTTTCTTTCTCTTCCTACTCCTACCCTCATTCCCCTGACCCGGGGCAACAACTGATCTGCTTTCTGTCCCCATAGATTAGTTTTCTTTTTCTAGAATCTTACATAAAGGGAAACATACACTATGAGCTCTTTGTTCTCTGGTTTCTCTTACTCAGCCCAATCATTTTCAGATAAATTCCTCTTGTTGTGCAAGTCAATATTTTGTTCCTTTTTATTGCTGTATAGTATTACATTGTCTGGGTGTATCATAAATTGTTTATTCGTTCACATACTGATGGACATACTGATGGCTTTTCCTATTACAACTAAAACTTCTGTAGACGTGTGTACAAATCTTTCGTTGGACATAGAGTTATTCATTTCTTTTGGGTTAATACATAAGAGTGAGATATTTAGGTTGTATATTATATCTATACTTAATTTTTGAAGAAACTGCAAAACAATTTTTCCAAAGGGGCTGTGCCATTTTACACTCTCAACAGCAAAGAAAGTGAGATCCAATTGACATTCTCAACAACAATTTGTAAGTTTATTTTTATTTAATTTTGGCCATTCTAGTGGGTGTGAAGAAATATTTCATTGTGATTAAAATTTGTATTTTCTTAATGACTAATGATATTGAACATCTTTTCCTAGACTTATTTGATATCCATATATCCTTGTGAAGCATCTATTCAATGTTTTGCTTGTTTTTAGATAAAATTGTTTGTCTTCTAAATATTGAACTGTAAGTATTCTTTATCTGTTTTAGAATCAAGACCTTTGTCAAGCATATGTTTGGCAGATATTTTCTTTAGGTTTGTGATCTGTCATTTGATAGCATTGCCTTTTGAAGAGCACGTTTTAAAAAAATGTTGATGTAGTCTGAATTTTTTATTTTTGCATTTGTTGCCCATGTTTTTTGTGTCCCATTTAAAAATTTGTTGCCAAACCCAAGGTCACTAAGATTTTCTTCTCTATTTTCTTTTAGAAATTTTGTGATATATATGCATCATGGAATACTACTCAGCCATTAAAAGGGATGAAAGAATGTCTTTTTCAGCAACTTAGGTGGAGGTGGAGGTCATTACTCTAAGTGCAGTAACACAGGAGTGGAAAACCAAAAACCATGTATTCTTGCTTATAAGTGGGGGCTAAGCTGTGAGTACACAAAGGCATAGAGAGTGATATAATGGACTTTAGAGCCTCAGAAGGAGGACGGTGAGAGGGAGGCCAAGGATAAAAAACTACACATTAGGTACAATGTACACTACTTGGCTTATGAGTGCACTCAAATCTCAGAATTCACCACTCTACAATTCATCCCTGTAACAAAAAAACACTTGTACCTCAAAAGCTATTGAAATAAAAAATTTTAAAAATTTTCAGATTTTTGGTTTTTACATTTAAGACTATTATCAATTTTAAGTTAAATTTTGTATAAACTCTGAGGTAAAGATTAAAATTCATTTCTTAGAAATGGTATCAAATATTTGCAGCACCATTCGTTGATCCTTCATAACAAATTGTTTTGGTATCTTAATCACAAAACAGTTTGCCCTATGAGTATGAGCCTAGTTTTGGATGGTCTATTCAGTTCCATTGGTCTAATTTTTTTTGGTCATAGTGCCACTGTCTTCATTACTAACATTTTGCAATTAAGTTTAGAGTTCAGGTAGTGTAAGCTTCCAATTTTCTTCTTTTTCAAAGTGGATTTCCATGGTCATTTTTGCTTTCTAAAGAATGTTTACAAGTGGACATCATTTTTTAAAACATAATTCTAAGGAAGTACAAGAAGAAAAGAATTGACATGACATTCTTCAGAATGACTATAATTCTAAAATTGTTTTTCTTCTTTTTGCTTTTTTAGTTCATAATACAAATGTTTCTGTCACTTCTTAAAATAGGGGTCCTGCTCTTAAAGGCCAACAGTCTAAGCCTCTGAAGCAGTATTATCCAAGGTCTGGTCTGTAATGTTACATCAGATGACCTAAAATTTCTTATAATCACTCATTGTATATAGTGGGTATGATAGTTCTCATACACTTATCATTTACTTGATATTGTGATATTTCTTAAATTTATAAAATGCTTTATAATTATAATATGCTTTTAACAAATTATTTCATTTGAACCTTACATTTTTTAAAAGAGGCCTTGTCAGCATTATTAATATTGTAAGTATTGCAATATGTCTATTACAAAACTGGCAGCAAATATTTGTTACATACCTATTTTGTATGTGGCATAGTATATTATATGCAATCTTGTAAGGTATAATTCATTACCTTTAAATACAAGAAAATTGCAAACAGTAAATTACTTACACAAATATTATAAACATGTAAGCTAAAATTTTACATTAACATAAATTAGTATAAAATTATAAATTAATACTAAGAGATAAGCAGTTAATGGTCGAGATTGACAGTTATCCTATAGAGATTTAAAAGAAGTAGCAATAAGTATTGGTGTGATTGACCTAGCCATGAAAGGGTCCCAAACTGAAAGGAACGTAGATTTACTTTAAAAATAGCATGTTGAGAGTCAAAATGAAGGAAGAGGAGGGAGTCACAGTATGAACAAGGGCATGAGGATAAAAATGCATGACATTTGTGTTGATTTGGTGAAAAGAATATTCTGTCTGTAGGAAATAAATTGATTAGAAAAATAGTCATAGATGATGCTAGAATTGTAGGTTGAAGCGGGTTGGCAGGGACTTTGTAAGCTTTCTCGTATAAAGACATAGCTTCCATTAGCACCTGTGTGCTGTGGGGTCTGACATTCAAGTTTCCATCCTGGAACTCTTTCCTGAATTACAGGCATATATATTTAAGTGCCTGCTAGGCATCGATGCCTGAGAAATTCCACAAATAACTCAAACATGCTTAAATCTCAACAGTGTCTTATTTGCTCAACTTACTTTTCCTCCTGTATTCTCCGTTTTATTAAGGGCACTATAAGCCCTCCAGAAGCCTGAGCCAGAAAACAAGGAGCTTCTCCAGTCTCCTTGCTTATCTTCCAGTATAACTCAATTCTGTAAATTTTAACTACTAGTGTATCTATCTTCAGTCTTTTTCCTCTTCTCCATCTCCATGGCCATTGCCTTCGCACAGGCTATGTTATCTCTTTTTGGACATATTGATGACTTTCTAGTTGGTTTCCTTGACTCAAGTTTTAACTGCCCATAAGGATAAATGATCACATTATTTTCTTCAAAAAATTCTTCTCTGGGAGCTTCCCTTTAGTGATGTAATCTTTTATCATAGTCTGTGCCCAGTTCACATTTTTTAGCTTCATTTGTTGTAATCTCTGTTTTCCCTCAATGCATCCTGCATGACTGCCATTTCAACAAATGCATTTCCTTGGATGTAGCATTGTCTTTTAAGCCACTGTGCTCTTGTCCCTGCTGTCCTCTCTAATGGGTTGTCTTCCCTACCACTTACTTTTTATGTCAAAGCTCTAGCTCTATGCACCGGTGATGCTTTTCCTGGTGTCCCCAGATATTGTTGGTTAGTCTTTCTTCTATGCTCCATTGCACTTGGTGGAAGTTTTTGTGAGAGACTGTGTGGTTCTTTTAGAAAAAGCACCATATGCTATTTTATTTCCCTATCCCTTTTCTGTAACATGATAACTGGCTCAGAGGAGGTACTAAGTAAACATATATAAACATATATATTTACATGTCTATAAAATATGTATTATATATTTTCATTCATATTATAAATATATATTCATATATAATATATTGTATATTATATTAATATATAACTTATATAATATATAATATAATTATTAATATATTATATATAAATATATTGTGTAAATATATTGTTTTATTTATATATTATAAAATATATAATACATTTTTAATATTTTATAATGTATAAATTTTATATATACATATATTTATTATATAAATATACATTTTATATTATACAGACTATACATATATATATTTGAATGATCAAACTGAATAGATAATAAAATCAAAGTCTTAAAACAGTAACCTGGAGAGGTTGAATTGGAACAGAGTAGATGTGGGTGATGGGTGATTCTGGGGAGCCTAATATTGGAAGAGCTTCTTCATAGTGAGGGATGTTGTGATGAGCATCTGCTCTTTGGATCTTAGATTTAATCTCTCCACTTTTTACCTTACCCAATTATAATTTCAATACTTTTGAGTCATTTCTATCCTGTTTGCCCAATTACCCATATCATTTTTTTTTTTTTGGTCTCTTGTGAGTTGGAGGCAGAGAATACTATGGCTGAAAATCCTAAGGCGGCAATTCCTTTTAGGAAGATAAACCAGAACAGAAAATGCAAGCTCTTGGTTGTCAAATAATAATAATATAATTTCTGAAGGCTTACCTCTGCTTCAGTAGTAAGAAACTATTTGGGAAACCATATTGGAGACCTCACCAACCCACAAAGAAAGGTGATGGTGCAGATAAGAGACACAATAAACTGCTTGAGGAAGTCTATTAGTGTATTTTTGGAGGAAGGTAATTGACCATTGGCAGGACTGACATTTTAATCACATTTTCTCTTCTATTCATTTATATTCTTTAAATCCAGGCTGCTGCTCATTGAATTGGAACTGTACTGCCTAATCTCGCTACTTCACTAAGTTCACCTGGCAGTTATATATTCTTAGTGCCTTTAGCGTTCTTTAAAAAGTGTAATTAAATGATACTTAGCCTTTGGCATAATTAAAATTTCTTTGCTTTTAAGAATGGAGATAGTCCATGGTACTAAATATAATTGCTGTCATAGAACAGAATAACAAAAGCAAGATGAAAAGGCTCAAAAGTGGTGGTGTTAGTGGTGGAGGAAAAAGACATGTCAAGATGTCAAGTAAAGTTTTTCTGCCAACTGCCTTTTTTTTGGTCTTTGCATAAACTTTAAATTTTTACAGACTTGACATTTTCCACCAAAAAACAACAGGAAAAAAAAAGGTCTCCAGAGATTTTCGGTAGTGGGCAAAAGAGAGCCAATGTAAAGGCAATGAAACATCAACAGTAGAGTAGTGCATAGTGGAGGCTGATGTGAAATCGATGTCAAATAAGTAAAGCAACAGGAAAATTGTGATTAGCACTGCAGGGGTATTGGAAATTTCATCTGTGACAGAGAGTTTTCTTCGCTCTTGGGTTCACTACCTACCATGAAAAGTATTTCCACAAGTCACTAACCCGTCAGTCATACATCTGCTCACTGCACTGGTTGTTGTGGAGAAGCAAACATTAAGCATAAGATAGTACCTACTACTAAAAGCTTATGGCTTTTCTAGGAAGGCAAGCCATGCTGGCAACTTCTCCAAGGAGGGAATAAAAGTATTCAGTTGCTTATTTTTTTTTTTTCCCTATCTGTCAAGTGTGCTGCAAACCAAGCAGGGTAGAAATGTTAACTGAAAATAAAAGAGAACTTGGTTTCAGTAGCTTGGTCCTAGTTGGCTGACTGAGATAAAGAGCTTCAGAGAAACATCTGACACAGAGAGAAACCAGACAAGAGAGAAACAGTGGGCCATTCTATTTCTCTGTTGACATGACTCTATGAAGATGTCACTTGATAATGAGTGAATTAGGAACATTCATGTAATTGTTATGACCTAATTCACTGGCTAATATCAAATAAGGTTACTTCTTTATTCAATTTTTTTTTCTTTTGGAGTCAGAGTCTCACTTTATCCCCCAGGCTGGAGTGCAGTGGTATGATCTCAGCTCACTGCAACCTCCACCTCCCAGGTTCAAGCGATTCTCCTACCTCAGCCTCCTGAGTAGCTAGGATTACATGCGTCTGCCATCACGCCTGGCTAGTTTTTGTATTTTTAGTAGAGACGGGGTTTTGCCATGTTGACCAGGCTGGTCTTGAACTCCCAACCTCAAGTGATCCGCCCACCTTGGCCTCCCAAAGTGCTTGGATTAAAAGCGTGAGCCACAGCACCTGGACTCAATTTTCAAATTAAAACTGACTTGAGTCTCCACTTGACAGTTTGGCAGAATTGTTCATGAAGCCAAGGAGGCTCATCTGCTCAAATGCGTTTGGTAAGAGAATAAAGTAATTCTATTCTCTTTCACGTCTCCACTAGAGGACTTCCTCTACTCTTGTTTCTTGTACTCTTGCCAATCAGTAAAATACTGGCCCAACTAGTGTAAAGTTGTCTTGTTCACTGAAATGATGATGTTCTTTCTGATCCAAACACTTGCAGAAGCCTCTGTGGTTTTTCAGTGGGGAAGATCCATTCTCTCATTGACGTTCTTTAGTTTGCCTCTTCGTCCAAATGTCACCTGTTGAATATGATTGGCCTTCTTCAGGGTATGAAAATAAGTTTGATTACAATATTTTCCCCTAGGTCATTGGATACCTAGGAGTCTTACATTTATATAACAGTGGGCTTCCACTCATATGACTTTTTCTTAATCAAAATATAGTCAAAGATAACTTGTGCTCTCCAACTGGATAATTTTCAATGACAACTTGTCTTAAAAATAAAAATATTTCTGGGTGCGGTGGCTCACGCCTGGAATCCTAGCACTTTGGGAGGCCGAGGTGGGTGGATCACCTGAGGTCAGGAGTTCGAGACCGGCCTTGTCAACATAGTGAAACCCCGTCTCTACTAAAAATACAAAAAATTAGCCCTGGCGAGGTGGTGGGTGCCTGTGATCCCAGCTACTCAGGAGGCTGAGGCAGAAGAATTGCTTGAACCCACAAGGCAGAGGTTGCAGTGAGCCGAGATCATGCCATTGCACTCCAGCCTGGGTGACAAGAGCAAGACTCCATCTCAAAAAGAAATAAAAAATAAATAAATAATTAAAAAATAGAAATATTATATCCAAGTACCGTGTCATTTAGTTATAATTTATTGAATGCTCACTATGTACTAACCTTGATCTGGTCCACAATATCTCATTTAATATGCAACCCCATAGGTAGGCACAGGCCATGTGAGTGGTAAAATAACTTACAAAATAGGACTGTAATTTCTAATTACAGTCACTCTGGCTTCAAACAATATGGTCTTTCTTCCATGTCGAAATTCTTCACGCTAATAGTGCACTAGAAACAGCTGGAATCTCTGGCATAGGATACAGATCGGTGAAAAGACTATTTCTAAATCTGAAAATCCACAGATTCTGGACTGTTAAAATATTCCCTTAAAGGCAGCATACTTCTTTTTTAATTTCAAGAGAAAGACCAAGTATTCTGTACATAGCTGGATAATTAGTACTGGGAGGGGTTCAGGGACTAACATGACACACATACCTGTAACACCTATATACTTACAAAATCAGCAATATATAACAATATAATATGGCTGTAAAATATTTACTAATTTTGTAAACATTGAATAAATGACCATTGTGTGCTAGACATTGAGATTTGTACCAGGGATAAAAAGACATGATCTCTCTCTCTCCCTCTCCCTCTCCCTCTCCCTCTCCCTACTCTCCCTCTCCCTCCTCTCCCTCTCCCCATGGTCTCCCTCTCCCTCTCTTTCCACGGTCTCCCTCTGATGCCGAGCCGAAGCTGGACTGTACTGCTGCCATCTTGGCTCACTGCAACCTCCCTGCCTGATTCTCCTGCCTCAGCCTGCCCAGTGCCTGCGATTGCAGGCGCGCACCGCCATGCCTGACTGGTTTTCGTATTTTTTTGGTGGAGACGGGGTTTCGCTGTGTTGGCCGGGCTGGTCTCCAGCTCCTAACCGCCAGTGATCCACCAGCCTCGGCCTCCTGAGGTGCCGGGATTGCAGACGGAGTCTCGTTCAGTCAGTGCTCAATGGTGCCCAGGCTGGAGTGCAGTGGCGTGATCTCGGCTCGCTACAACCTCCACCTCCCAGCTGCCTGCCTTGGCCTCCCAAAGTGCCAAGATTGCAGCCTCTGCCCAGCCGCCGCCCGGTCTGGGAAGTGAGGAGCGTCTCTGCCTGGCCACCCATCGTCTGGGATGTGAGGAGCCTCTCTGCCTGGCTGCCCGGTCTGGAAAGTGAGGAGCATCTCTGCCCGGCCGCCATCCCATCTAGGAAGTGAGGAGCGCCTCTTCCCGGCCGCCATCCCATCTAGGAAGTGAGGAGCGTCTCTGCCCGGCCGCCCATCGTCTGAGATGTGGGGAGCGCCTCTGCCCCGCGGCCCCGTCTGGGATGTGAGGACCACCTCTGCCCCGCCGCGACCCCGTCTGGGAGGTGAGGAGCGTCTCTGCCCGGCCGCCCCGTCTGAGAAGTGAGGAGACCCTCTGCCCGGCAGCCACCCCGTCTTTGCCAAATCTGGATTGATTCTGACATGCAACCAGAATGGCCCTGTTGCAATGTAAGTCTGATCTTGTCAATTCTTGGCTGCAAACCCTGTAATGGCTTCCTATTCTATTCAAAGGAAAATTGAAGACCTTTCAAGAGCCTAGAAAGTCATATTCTATCAGCCTCATCCATTGCCTCTCAAATCTCATCTCTTACTACCTCTCATTGCCAATTCTGCTGCAGCCGTACTTACCTTCTTGCTGGTTTTCTTCAATATTTTAAACATACTTAGAGCAATTATATGTACTGTTTCCACCTTGGAGATCCATCTAATCTATTTTCTGTCTCCCTCTCACTAAATTCCATTCATGAAGAGATTTTTTACTTCTATTCACACATTTAGAATGAATATACATTATAGTCACCTGTTAATTTTTCTAACTAATGGAAGATGGATCTGAAGTGTGAGTAATGAGACAATTTTAGGTGTTTAATAATTGAAATAGACATGATTTATTGAAGATTTAGAACATGCCAGGCTCTAGATGAAGAGTTTTACGTTTACCATCTCCTTTAATCCTCACACCAGTCCATTGAGGTAAAACTGTTATTCCCAAATTTTACAGGTAAGGAAATTAAAGCAAGAGAAGTTAAATAGTTTCCCCAAAGTCAAACAACATGTTGGCCGAGTTAGTATTTGAACGCAGCCATTTTCAATCTAGAGCTCATACTCTTAGCTTTAACATTAACACTTGTCTTTCTACCAGGAACTCTGTGAGTTTTGCAATTTGCCTGTGTCACATTTTATTCCATGGGATGCTATAGGTTTTTGCCAACAAATGTAATTTATTTCCTGTACACATTACGAGCTCTCTGAGAGAGAGAGAGAGACTATCTTAGTTATCTTTGAATATACCTTATGCCCAGAGAATGATCTTGCTCACAGAAGGTTCTCCTTAAACGTTGGATTAAAAATAAGAAGAATAATGTGGCACAGTTTGATAATTGATTTGAATTAAAACAATAGTTTTGCATTTGATTCTAGAAAAGCAGGGAAGCTGTCCAATATCCATCCTGTTCCTTTCAGTTTATCCATAGAATTAACTGCATGCTCAGAGTTAGAGAAAATACTTTCTCAGAATGATGCCAGGTTTTTCTTCTTCCAAATGTTGTTTAGTATACACCTTTCTGCACTATTCTGAAAAATAGAAGGTACTGATGTCAACAAAGCTGTAATTATGTAGATTTAAAACTTCATAATTAATTAACTTATGGCAAAGCACTCTTCTAGGTTTGTAAGATATCAGAAAAGATAATAACTTGTCTTTCATTAACTTGAAAAAAATTCCAGTTGTCAATAATAAGATAGTTGTCTCTATACACAAACTTTCCTTAAATATTAAGAACCAGGAAAATAAGAGTTTCTAAAATTTTTAAATTAAAAATATAGAACGATCATACTTTTGTTTGTAAGCTTCCCACTCTGAGTTATGCAATAGTTAAAGTTACCTCTTTTTCTGTTTTGGGCAGCTTTGAATTTTTAGCTCTTAAAAACTCCTAAAAGGACACAACTAAAATTTTAATGGGCATTTCAGCTAAGTCTTTTTGAATTTTGTATTAGATTTCTCTTTAGCCTTGGGTAAAGTCATAAAAAAATTGTCTGCTTAAAAATGTAATCATCACACAGGAACTTCCCAAAGTCAGCATCAAATAGAATAAAATATATTTTGTTAACGATACAATTCATAAAATTACCAGCCCTGCCACTCTCTGCCCTCCAGGGACACCTCTTCCTCCTACTACATGTACACAAGTCACTGGTGTTTGTTCTGTGTAATTTAACCTTCTGATTGCCTTGAGTGCTTAATGAGCTAGATTATGTGAAATGCTGTTTAGAGGGGTGTTCACTTCTGTTGGGATAGAAATCCCAGTCGTGAGCCAGAGCCCAAGGAAGGTCCACTCCTGATGGATGAACTAGAATCAAGAAAAGACCTGCCAGCCTTGTTTGTTTTCCCTTCTAAAGGATGCTTAGTAAATACACAGAGTCAGTGTTCAAAGATTGAGTTGAGAGGGAGCATCTGGGCCCCTTTCCAGGTGCAGTAGCCTCGTTTCTCCTTAAATGTCTTATTTTTTCCTCGACATATAATTTTAGGATTCATATTGAGTTATCATTAGTCTTTCACCTCCTACCTCAAATTGGTTGGTTTATCCTTTTCCTAAAATCTGATAAGTTTCTTTCTCAAATTTCTCAAATTTGTCTTAAAGAAGGAAGCATATCTCCATCATGAACCTAGCACTTCACCTTTACAAAAACTCCCAGCAAGGGGCTGCGCCCTTTTAGAAAGAGATATAGAAGCTAGGCATAGTGGCTCAGGCATGTAATGCCAGCACATTGGGAGGCCGAGGTGGGGAGATAACTTGAGGCAAGGAGTTCGAGACAGCCTGGCCAACATGGTGAAATCCTGTCTATACTAAAAATACAAAAATTAGCTGGGCATGGTGGTGTGCACCTGTAAGCCCAGCTACTCTGGAGGCTGAGGCAGGAGAATGGCTTCAACGTGGGAGGCAGAGGTTGCAGTGAGCTGAGATTGTGCCATTGCACTCCAGCCTGGGCAACAGAGCGACTCTGTCTCCAAAAGAAAAAAAAGAGAGATAGAGAAAAATGCTATTGGTGAATGCTTATCATTTTGTTGGCAATAATATTTGATAGTAGTTTTCTATTCTGGGATTAAACAATGACTTTTTATTGAGCATTTGTTAGATGTTAAAATTTGATGAGGCTTTGGGGTGAACCCCAATAAAAGCCCCAGATTTTTATAAGCAGTTCACAACTTCATTAAGATCTGGTAAAAAAATGACATCATGTCTAAGAAATATCAAGTAAAACTTTAAAGGGCTGGTTTTTTGACTTTGGGGTTTGAGAAGTAATCTTTGAATAAATACAGTGTCCAGAGATAAAACAGATAAAACAGGAGTGACTTCTAATAATAATTTTTAGTATTTAAAAGGGGTTTTTCCATACAAATAGGAAGAAGAGAACAATCCATATGTATTGTTCTGAAAACAAATTTCTACCAGCTAACTAGATTAATCTGAAAAAAATAATTTGATATATTAAACTTATTTAATCCTTAGTGAAATTAATCTCCACTTCAGAGGACAGAAACCAGGGAGTCTGTTTTTTTAGGTGTCTTAGAGGGGAGGAATAAGCTGACCCTGTTTTAACAGATAGGCACTTGATGAATACATGTGTGTGGAGACTTCTAAAGGGCATATACAGCAGTGAAGCCATCGTTATTCACTGGAGCTTGTGTGAGCATTATTAATTCCACCCTACACAGAAGCTTCCCTGAAAACCCAACTCTGCCCGTGGCCGAACCATGTAAAATTCAGGAGTTTTATCAAGCATCATATCTTCTCTAAGATACAGACTTCGCAAGAGCAGAATGTTCATACCATGAGATTATTCTACCCCTGGTACAAGAGTAGAAAATTAGGGGATGATTAGCTTGACTTTCAACCGTTCCTTTATTCTAATGCCTCTAACAAGGTGGTGGTTTTTTTTCTTTTGCTTATTTGTTTTAAAAGTCTTGTGTTAAGAGTACTAATTGGGCTGAAGCACGTACTTTCGCTCTATAAGAATTACATAGGCTATTTGTAAATTAATCCAGCTAGGCCCCAAACAATTCTGAAACACTTTATTAGACAAGACAAAAATTAAATAGATGTTATAAGGCAAAATACAACCAGAAAAAGAATGATCTTTCTCTTCTGCTACATTATGACCTCTGAAGAATTTTTTTAAAAAATGCTTAATCTCCATTACCTAAATATATATGTTCAGCAAAACTTTGTTGAATAAACTAATTTACAGAAGGGAGAAAAATATGAAAAAAATGCACAAGGGAAGATATTGTCTATTGTCCCATGAATGTTTTAATATTTGTGCCGATAATATTTAATTAATAGATGTAAAAATCCCTTTATAGTCCTAAAACCAGAGGATATAATTGTTCCTGCTTCATAAACATGTTTATTTTATGCTCAGTCTGTGAGAACAGAGAGATACGAAGTCCTATTCAATCACACTTTTGATTCATATTTGCTCAATTTATTATCTTAACCTATTTCTCTTCATTGACACAGAAAAGGTCCAGTTTTAAACTTGCAAAGATAGCTGCAAATGATTAGTTATAATGACAAAGCTGAAATGTTTTCTTAAGAGATGAAGAAAAACCTAGTGATAGGATAGGTCAGGTAGGCAGAGGGAGAACTCAAACAAAACGAAACAACCAAACAAAAATCTCTCACCCAATTCCAGTTTCAGAAAGTGTGGAGCAGTTTATAACAATTAAAAACTATATGTAACTATATATACACACGTGTATATATATATATATATACGTGTATGTATATATATACGTGTATATATATATATACGTGTATATATATATACGTGTATATATATATTTATATACGTGTATATATATACACACACACAAATACACGCACACACACACGTGTGCTTACACAGTTACATACAATTATTTGATCACACTGAGGAATGACCAAAAGCCAGCAGAATTTGAGAAGATTCAGCCCTTGAAAGAAGACAAACACGGCTGGGCACAGTGGCTCACGCCTGTAATCCCAGCACTTTGGGAGGCTGAGGTGGGTGGATAACGAGGTCAGGAGCTCAAGACCAGCCTGGTCAACATGGTGAAACCCCCCCTACTAAAATTACAAAAAGTCACTGGACATGGTGGTACATGTCTGTAATCCTAGCTACTTGGGAGGCTGAGGCAGGAGAATAGCTTGAACCCGTGAGGCGGAGGTTGCAATGAGCCAAGATTGCTCCACTGCACCCCAGCCTGGACGACACAGCGAGACTCTGAGAAAAAAAAAAAAAAAAGAAGAAGGAAAGAAAGAAAGAGTGAAAGAGAGAAAGAAAGAGGAAAGAAAAAGCGAAAGAAAGAAAGAAGAAAAAGAAAGAAGAAAGAGAAAAAAGAAAGAAAAAAGAAAGAAAGAAAGAAAGAAAGAAAGAAAGAAAGAAAGAAAGAAAGAAAGACAGACAGACAGTAGGTGATCTCTGTGTTCACATTGTTACTGCTCATTCTGCAGTAGGGTTGGTGCAGGACAATTAGAACCTAAGCTAAGAACTTCAGGATTGTCACCTTGAGGAGTGAGAAAACTGAGTTTAAAGCTGTCAGAGCAACTGAAAATTAGGGGTGAGGATTCTGGAAAAGATAAATTGATTAGGAGATGAGTACCCAAATTTGTGTCTAAATTCTCCTCAAGTATTTGACCCACAAACTGTGAATGTATGTGTGAGGCTCCAAACCGCCCACCAATAAGCAACAAACTGGAGGTCTAAAAAGATATTTCAGTTAAGGACCTCTGCGTGAGAGACAGAATTTGATGTTGGGATCCTATCAAGTCAGAAGATTTGATTTGTTAAGGACACTTTAGTTTTTAGTTTTCTTAACGGAAGCCCAGGAGGATCATACCTTAAAAGTAATCACTACATCCTAGGACTAAGCATATGGCTAACACGGAAGACAAAGCTGAAATAGGTTCCCCCACCCCAAATACAGAGCAAGATGCGAAAACCAAGTGATCAGTCAGTAATTTCAGTCGCTGCTAGAATAAACCACTGCTGTTCAGAGGAGATTAACTGAATTCAGACTCTACAATGTGTTGTCAACAAAGTGAAGTATGCAATAAAAAGTAATAGTCTTTGGCCATAAAAAAGAATGAAATATCATTTGCAGCAACATGGATTGAACTGGAGATCATTGAATAAAGTAAGCCAGGCACAGAAAGACAAATATTGCATGTTCTCACTCATATGTGCAAGCTAAAAAAGTTTATCTCATGGAGATAGAGAATAGAATGATAGTTATTAGAGTCTGGGAAGGGTATGTGTGTGTGTGTGTGTGTGTGTGTGTGTGTGTGTGTGCATGCTGAGGGGTAGATGGTACAAACATACAGTTAGAGAGAAGGAATAAGTTCTAGTGTTCTAAAGCACAGTAGAGTTAGCAAAAATATAGTTTACATTTCAAAACAGCTGGAAGAGAAGAATTGAAATGTTCCAAACACAAAGAAATGATAAATCATTGAAGTTACGGATTCCTAAATACCTTGACTTGATTCCTACACATTTTATGCATGTATCAAAATATCATATGTACCCATTAAATATGTGCGAATATTATGTATCAATAAAATTTTTTTTAGAAATTTAGACATATTAAGAAACTAGTGTAGTTGAACCATAATCAAGAGGAGAAACAATCAATTGAAAACTACCTAGAGGTGTTGGTATCCTTGTATTGGAATTAGCATACAAGTGTTTTAGAGCAGCTATTTTAACTGTATTAAAGTATGAAAGAAATATATGCTTATAATGAAGGAACAGATAATAAAATATCCATAGAAAAATAAATATTATAAACAAGTGTCAAATGAATATCTTAAAACTGAGAACTAAAATGTTTAAAATAAAGAATATTTTATTGAATGGCTTCAACAGAAGACTAGAGATGAGGGAAGAAATAACCAAAAAACTTTAAAACTGATTAACATAATGTTCATTGTGAAGAAGAGAAATAAAAAAAACATTGAAGACAGAATTATGTTTGGCAATACCAAATGACTTACAAAAAATGTAATTTAAAAAATGGAATAAGTTTAAAATGTAATAATTCTAAAAGGAGAGAAGAAAGAGAACAGGCAAAGAATACATTTGAAGAAGTAATGTCTGAAAAATCCACAAATAAATGAAAGGTATAAGCTTACAGATTTAAGAAGCACAAATAGCTCCACACAGAATAAATACAAAGGAACCACACCTAGGTATATCATAGTAAAACTGCTGAGGACAAAAGAAAAAGAAAAAATCTAGAAAGCAAAAAAAAAAAATGGCACATTATATTAAATGAATAATATTGACTTCTGTTCAGAACAAGGGAACCTGGAAACTAGGCAAACATGATACATAAACTGTTGAAAGGGGAAAACCCAGGCCTGCCGATTCTGAGTTCTATATCTTGAAAGTATAAGTCAAGAATGAAGGCCAAAAAAAGATATTTTTAGATAAATAAAAAATGAAAAGACTTGTTTCTAAACTGATGTGTACCAAAAGAAATGTAAAAGCAATTATTTAGACTGAGGGAAATAATTCTAGATGGAAATTTGAATCTTCAGAGAGAAATGAGGGATATGGCAATGATAAATATGCATATAAATATGAGCTTAATTTTTATCTTATTTCCTGTATGATTATATAAAAATTTATATACAATTTTATAAGACATATTTCTCTATATTATTTTTGTATAATTTAAATGGCTTCTTAAAGCAAAATTTATAAGTTTTATTTGGGAGTTTGTAATGTATGTTGAGGTAAATCATGAAAAATTACATTAAAAAGAACAAAAGCACAATTGCAAGATTCTTTTATATGATGTTGGATAATTGTAACTCTAAGTAGTTTGAAAAGTTAATGATTTGGATTTTAGTCTGTACATCAAGCTCACTAAAAGCAACAGAAAAAAGGATAGATTAAAAGTCATTAGATAAATTACAGTAGAATCCTAAAATATATTGAATTAACAAAAAAAAGTGCAAGAAATAGGAATGGGGAATAAAAAAATTGGAAACACAGAAAACAAATAGAAACTTCTAGCTATATCTCAATTGTTATCAGTAATTACACTGCATGGAGATGGACTAAACATTGTAATTAAAGGATGATGTTATTAGAGTTGAAAAAGAACCATGACTCAATTCTAATACAACAGCAGCACACAACACACTTAAATGTGAAGAAAATGAGAGTTTAAAATAAAGAATGGAAGATATATGCTTTGTTAGCAATAACCATAAGAAAGCTGGAGTGGCTATCTTAACATAAGATAGACTTAAGACAAAGACTATTACAAGAGATTAAAAAAAAGGACACTTCATAATGATGAAATGTTCAGTCCTTCAGGAATCTATACTAATCAGAAATACGTATATGGCTAATAACAGAGTTTCAAAATAGTTCTGTGAATATTGATTCAACTGATAAAAGAAACAGAAAAATCCATGTATTTCATTGGAAATTTTAACATTCATCTCTCAGTAACTGATAGAACTGGACACAGAATCAGTCAGGCCATAAGTGCCCTGAACAACACTAGGCACTTCTTTTAACTAATTATTATTTATAGAACATTATACCAGAATACATATTCTACTTCAGTGTACTTAGTATGCTTACCAAAATAGACCATGTTCTAGGCTATAAAAGAAGTTTCAATATGGCAAAAATGTTTGAATATTTCAATATGCTAACGGAGTGAAATTTTGCAGACTATATCTTCTAATCACGATGAAATTAAATGATAAATTAGTAACAATAAGATATCTGTAAGTCCTCAATAGACCAAAGAATAAATTACAAGAGATATTTAAATTAATTTTACCAAATTACAATGAAAATATAAAAATCAAAATGAATAAAATCTACAGGAAACTTTATAGCATTAAATGTTTATTATATTTGAAAACTGAAAATGTCTAATATCAAAGATCCATAGGTATACTTGACGAACTTAGAAGAAGAACAAAGTAAAACCAAAGTTATCAAAAATAAGGAAGTAATAAAGATTAGAGTAGATATCCATGAAATAAAAAACAAAAAACTACCGGTACAGTGGCTGACACCTGTAATTCAAGCACTTTGGGAGGCTGAGACAGGAAGATGGGTGAGGCCAGGCATTCAAGACCATCCTGGGCAATGTAGTGAGACCCTCATCTCTACAAAAAAATAAAAAATTAGCCGGATGTGGTGGTGCACACCTGTAGTCCCAGCTGCTTGGGAGGCTAAGATGGGAGGATGGCCTGAAGCCAGGAGGTCATCTGCAGTGAGCCATGATTGCACCACTGCCCCCACCTTAGGTGACAGGGTGAGACCCTGTCACAATAAACAAATAATAAATAAATAATAGAGAAAATAACAGAATTTTGTCCTTTATTGTCATGACAGCATAGATGCACAGATATTAAAATATACTAAGGGAATGTTATGAACAATTATACGCCCCTAAATTTGGCAACTCAGACAAAATGACTAAATTCCATGAAATTAAAAACTTATCAAAAACTGAAAAAAGATTAACAAAATATAAAGACTCATATGTTCTTTAAAATAATTCAATTATTTATCAAAAATCTTCCCATAAAGAAAATTCCAGGTCCAGGTTGCTTTAGTGGTGACTTTTACTACATGTTTAAGAATGTTAAACTACCAATCTTACATAAATACTGAGAAAGTAGAGTAGAAAACACCAAGTTGTTTTATTGGATCATCAAAATACTAATATCAAAGATGGACAAAGATATTTCCAAAATAAATATACTGCACACAAATATCCCTCATGAACATAGTCGCCAAAATTTAAAAAATTGCAAGTTAAATCCAGCAATATATATATAAAAGTTGAGGAAATATTATGGGTCGTGGGACATATTTTAGAAAAGCAAAGTTGGTTTAGCAATGAAAAGACAATCAATGTAATTTGACATATTAACAGAAAAGAAAAATAATATGGGCATCTCATTAGATGCAGAATAAAAGTTGGCACAATGCAGCACTATTGCAGGAAAAACTCTTAGCAAAACTAGGAATCGAAGAAAGCTTTTATACTGGCTATTTAGCCAATGCAATAAGACAAGCTAGGGGGAAAAAAAGGCATATGTACTAAAAATGAAAAAAAATTTTCTTTATTTTCAGATGACATAATCATCTACATAGAAAATCCCAAAGGGAGATGCATTAATGCTATAAAAATCACCTATATATTTTCATAAGAAGAGTTTGCAAATAGGAGAAAACCAGAATTGGCCGTAAGGGGGCAAACGGAATGAGGAGAGTAGAGCAGAAGAAAGTCAACAGAAGGGAGATATAGACCAACAAGAAAAAAGCTGGATCCTAAAGATAAACTTGACAGCTTCAAATTTTCACTTATTTTTTTTCTTCATCCCTGTTTCTTCCAGTCCTGTCTAATTTAAGGGAAAGTTGATGTCTTTATTAGAAGCATTCTATGTTTCCAGTGAAATTATAAATCTCACAAAGGCAGAGGTTATGCCTATTTTACGCACTTTCCTATGACCCAATAGCAGCCACAGTAGCTGCATGGTAGATACATAACTCATTTCTTCATTGTCTAATGCATTTATTCCTTAAATATTGAATGAGTGCTCACCATGTGTCAGGCACGCAGTGAGCAAAAGAAAGCCTCAGCTTTCGCAGAGCTTAAAAAAAGTGAAATAGGGAAAGAGAAGAAAACAGCTAATAATTCAAATAAAATGTATATTATTACATATATATTTATTTTTAATTGTTTAAATTTCCATTTTTATTATAAATTCAGTGGGTACATGTGCAAGTTTGTTACAAGGGTATACTGTGTGATGCGGAGGTTCAGGCCTCTATCGATCCCATCACCCAGATAGTGGACATAGTACCCAATAGAAAGTTTTCAGCCCCTGGCCCCCTTCTTTTTATATTTTTATACATATTATTTCCACAGGGTCTCAGAGTAATGATGTAGTATAGGCAGAGTGAAGTGATATCTCAATTTTATAGATAAGGAAACTGAAGAACGGAAAGACAGTGGATTGCTAAGAGTCCTACAATGATGTAGCAAGGTCATGCATCTAGGTCTTCAGGGAGGAAATCTCATTTCCATTCTTCTTCCTTTAAAGCAGGGCAGAGGAAGGATGAAATAGACAAGCCCTACAATGTAGGATTTATGAAGGTTGCCACCCTCTTTTTCTAAGCATAGAAAAAATGGGTGCTCTGAGCACATGCTCATTGTTTCACAGTGGCAGCTGTGGCTGCTAAAGGACGATGCCTTGTTAAAAGGAGACAGAAGCATGGCTGCTTTGACAGAAGTGTTCTCTTGTGGCTTGCAGAGGATCAGATATCCATCATGCACTGTTATTTATTTATCATATCTTAGTCATTGCCCTCCGTAGCACAAATGCGAAATAGCAGTTTCCCTTTCCCCTGGGAAGGCCAAGCCTGATGAGTCAATAATTAAAAACTGCCTTGACAGCTGACACTTGTGCCTCCCTGGAAACCTGCAAAAGGGCAAGGGAAACAAAGAAAAGGTTCTTCTTATAAAGTCAAACCTAACTTTGTCAATTGACAGAAGGAGTTACATGCAAGTGAGAGAGAGAAAGACCAGAGGGCAGGCGTGGTGGACCATGAGCTTGATGTGAGTCAGGGGTGCAGTCATTTCCTGAGATGGTAAGTATGACATGAGAATATATTATCACAGCAGTGCTGCAAGAGGACCCCATTAAAATACTGGGCACTAGGAGAGGATATATAGTTCTAGATTCTACAGTTTGAGTTAGGAGTAAATCTCTTAGGGAAGTTTCTGATGATCCACCTGAAAAATAACAAAGAAGATAAATGGAGCAAAAAGGTGCACTATTTAAATTGAAAAACCAGAGTAAACAACATCAAAACCCAGGAAAAACTGATAGGCATTCATTTCCACAGGACATTAGAGGGAGAATGGGGCCTATGTTGAAGCAAAGGAGTACCAAGATAGACCAAAGCTAGCTAAAGATTACATTTGCAGTTTGGTTAAACAGCAGCAGATTACCAGGGATGATCGTACCATTTTCACCCAAAGAATGATTTGATAATTACCAATGACAGTAATTACCATAATTACTGGATCTGGACAGAGTGGGTGGTAGTAAATGGCAGGGCATTGGAAGGCTCTTTCAAAGCCTTAGAGTCCACTTTCATTTTTTCAGCTCCCAAGGAGGCAAGACTTCCCTTCTTGGCTGATGCTCACTGTAAGGTGTCATCCATGTTCACTTCATTTCCACAAACTTCCAGAAACTAGAAAGTGGTGCCGACTTAATGTAACAATATATTCATATGGCTTTTTGTCGTCCTTCTTCTAGTTATTAAAAAAAAGTATCCAGAAGAATACTGGTAACCTTCTCAAAAAGCATGCTTTTTCCATTTGTATTTTTCTTATTTTTTCCCCTAAGGCTTCATAAATGTCTTGTCTGAATTTTTAAGACTTTTTATCATTCTTTTAGACAAAGAGAAGAAAAAAATGCCAAAATTTATTAAAAGTTTCAATAATGTAACATAAATGAAAAAGGAAGCCAGCTGCGGTGGCTCACGCTTGTAATGCCAGCACTTTGGGAGGCCAAGGTGGGCAGATCACTTGAGATCAGGAGTTCCAGACAGCCTGATCAACATGGTGAAACCCTGTCTCTACTAAAAATACAAAAATTAACCGGGCATGGTGGTCAGCACCTGTAATCCCAGCTACTCAAAAGGTTGAGGCAGGAGAATTGCTTGAACCCGGTAGGCAGAGGTTGCAGTGGTCTGAGACTGCACCACTGCACTCCAGCCCGGGTGACAGAGCCAGACCCCATCAAAAAAAAAAAAAAAAAAAAAAAAAAGGAATTACAGTGGGTCCTCTGTATCTGTGGGTTTCAAATCTGCAGATTCAACCAACCATGGATCAAAAATATTCAAGAAAAAGAACAACAAAAAATAACAATACAATAAAAAATGAAAATAAAAACCAATACAGTATAACAACTGTTTACATAGCATGTATGTAATAGGCTCGCTTGCATGATGTACAGCAAGCCAATATATTGAGACACTGGGGATGGCAGCAGAGGTAGAGTTTGGTTATTATACAGCAGCCTAACGAGGAGATGGGAGGAAACCTCAAATCTACCTCCCCAAAAAGTTTGGGCTAGGGATTTTAGGTAGTTTGCAGTAGGCCGAGGTATGGGGATCACTGACTGATAGGAGTGCAAGGTAAAGTCATGGGATGGGAAGATGAGGAAACTGCACTCTCCTGCTGATTGGGTTTCTCTGTGGAAGTCTTTAAATTGGTTGGCATCAGCCTTTCCACTGGAATTTAGGATCTAAAGACCCTCTTAAGCAGTTCTTAAACAAAATGCCTTGTGATTCTTATGTCAATGTTTCTACTTATAGGAACAAGTATGCAAATCAATTCTTAAACAAAAGCCTTAGGATTCTAACATCGAAATCCTATCTACAGGAGCAATGGGGGTGCAAATGGTCAGTACCTAGTGCTACCTGACTTTCAGTTACAAGGAAGTGGGCCAGAGTGCAGCCTGATTAATGCTTAATTATTACTGTAGTTCTGCCCAGAACCCACCATTTAGTTCTTGTTAACCCTATGAGGGTGGTTTCATTTACATTCTATTAGGTATTTAATCTAGAAATGATTTAAAGTATAAAGAGAATGTGAGTAGATTGCAAATGCTACACCATTGTATATCAGGACTTGAGCATACCTGGATTTGGGTATCTGCAGGAGGTTCTGGAACCAATCCCCCTCAGATACTGTATTTGAACTTATTAATTTCTTCATAGCACTGGCCTTAAACATCTTCCATCTATAATTTGTAGGGGAGAGGACCATGAAGGAGAGGATAAAAACCAAACTAAATATAAAGGTGCCATTTAGCCACCCAAGTTAGGGAAGAGGAGCTCCTTGGAGAAATATCAGCCTTAATGGTCCCCAGAAGTTTAATGCAGACAGTGGAAGTACAAACCAGGGACACTCAAGAGCCAGCATGAACAGGAGGCAGGGCTGGCAGCTGCACCTGTGCCCTGATTTCAGGATCCTCGAAAATCTCTTTGTATTTCCAAATGTCTTTTCCAATTTCTTCTGTTGCCCTAAATTTCACTTTAGAACTTTTGGCATTTGGCATAACGGTTTGGCCATTGTGATGGAGTTTTGTGGAATGTGATGTTTCCTAGGGTCACAGGATGGGTCCTTAAACAAAAACATGAATTAGTTGGCCAGGTCAAATCCATTCTTTACAGCTTATTTGGCTAATCAGTTGAAAGCGTAAGGAGAGCATAACATGAGACAGCAGAGACACAGATAAAAGCAAAGTAGAAATAAGTGTAAACATTGGGAATGATTTTTAAATCTGTATTATTATATCAAGCCAAGTCAGAGTGAAATGTGTATTGATGCTGTGATTTGTATCTAGTTTATACTTTGAGTCTGAAACCCTGGTGAAGAGAAGAGATGCCAAAAGCTTGGAGATAAATGAGCAAAATGATGTCTCTGGTTTCAGGAAGATAAATTTCAGCAAATTGACTACTGAACAGTAAAAATAATAAGCTGATTCTTTTTTACAGCTTTATCAAGATATGATTCACAAACCATACAATTCACTCATTTAAAGTGAACTGTTCAATGGCTTTTGGTGTTTTTATAGATTTGTGCAGCCATCACCACAATGCATTTTGCAATATTTTCATTATTTCCCAAAGAAACTCCACACCATATCCCTTGGCATCACCCCTCATCAACTCAGTCCTGCAGCCCCAAGCAGCGCATAATGTAATTTCTGTCTCTGTAGATTTACCTATTATGTACATTTGCATATCAAAGAAATTTAAACTGATTATTAATAATTTTTCATTTTTCAAGAATACATTTTGTCAAAACATACTGACTTCTTTTTTGATTAAATTACAGTAATCGCCCTTTAAAATGTTATACAAACAATATATTTAAATATCAACAAAGATACTGCTTTCCTAGAAAAAATATTTTAAAATACTCTAGCCAACCAAAAAAGGAGTTGACGTAAGAAATTCAAAAATGAACAAGTTGTGGTATAAAATGACTGAGGTTATGAACAATAGCAGATGCATACAGAATTAATAGTCATTACAATGTTCATAGAATATGGCAAATGTTTAAAACAATTCTTTAAAGATGATATTTGGTGAATAATACATGATTATTCATAAAATATGAATCCAAAGTTCCAGTTCATAACAACAAAACTAATAATGGAGGGAGAACAGAAGAGGAAACAAGAACAGCTAATGTTGTATATTAAGAGTTAAGATACCATTACCATCAATGCTACTGATAGTTAAAGAAAAAAATAGGTTCAACATGTTTTATATAAACTTAAAATTTTGTAGAATGAAAAGGTGAATGTACATGTATTCCCAATTATGGAGAAAGAAAAATGTCAAGGAGAAATGGTACTTTTAGAAACAATTTTAAAATAGAGACCTTCAGGAAGTATAATTGAATGGTCTTAATCTCCTGTTCCCAGGTGCAGTTCACATTATTATTTGCTTAAATTTCTTCCTAGACAGGCAGAGGATAATTCTGTCCTGCTCATAGATGTATCATGTACAACATGTGGCATCTTATAAAGGCATTTTAAGTGAATAAATAAATGAATACACTCTTGATTACAAAACACAATGAGCCAGTAAGATTTTAGAACAAATATATCAATTCATCCATTATATGGAATATACAAGAATCTATTAAAAGTCATGTTTTAGTGAACATTTGATGTCACTGACAATGCTCATGACAAAATATTAAATGAAAATACAATTCAACAATTCAAGTTTATAGTAATAATGCACATGAAGAAAGAGAGAGAATGCATGAGAGAAAGAGAAAGAAAAAGGGTTGGAAGAGAGAAGGAGACACTGGAAATAATTCTAGTTAACTGACTATTTCTGGGAAGTTAAAATGGGTGTTATATAAATTTCTTTGCACTTTAAAACAATTTCCTTTAGTATATTGAAAATGTGATGTCTTATTTGTTCTAGTGATTATCTTTTTATTTTTACCTTTTACAGCACCTTTAATTCCCCTTTTTCTTACATTTGTTACAGTCATGGATAGTTTAATAACGGGGATACAGTCTGATAAATGTGTTGTCAGGCAACCAAGTTGTTGCATGAACATCATAGAGTGGACTCACACAAGCCTACATGGTGTGGCCTGCTACACACCTAGGCTATATGGTATAGCTTATTGCTCCTGGGTCGAAAACCTGTACAACATGTGAGTGTACTGAATACTGTAGGTGATTGGAACACAATGGAAAATATTTGTGAATCTAAACATAGAAAAGATACTTTAAAAATGCAGTAATATAATCTTATAGGACCACTGTTATATATGAGATATGTTGTTGACTGAAATGTCATCATGTCGTGCATGTCTATGGTTGGTTTGTCAGCGTAAAATGATTATCTCTTAATCTCCACTCCAACAATCAATTAACTTATTTTTAAATTTTCACTCCTTTTTTGATTTTTTAAGTTGAATTCTTTATTCTTTGTGAAATCATATCTATACAATATTTTCCATCATTTTCATCATCCTTGTTTTCATGTTACATTTATAATTATATATATTAAATGCTCACTGTCAGTCCTTTCACCCCAAATTTCACAGTATCTTTTGGTTGGATAAAGACCATTCTCTCGTAGTTTCCTCTAGAAAGACAATTGTGAACAGGCTGAGTCCTTTCAGGTATAAACTCATTATGTGAGTTTATTGACATTTGAACAGAAGCTTAGTTGAGTAAAATATCTTTGGATCATTCTTTCCATGAGTTCCTTAAAAATGCTGCTACAGGCCGGGCACGGTGGCTCACACCTGTAATCCCAGCAGTTTGGGAGGCCGAGGTGGGCGGATCACCTGAGGTAGGGAGTTTGAGACCAGCCTGACCAACATGGAGAAACCCCATCTCTACCAAAAATACAAAATTAGCCTAGCGTGGTGGTGCATGCTTGTAATCTCAGCCACTCGGGAGACTGAGGCAGGAGAATCACTTGAACCTGGGAGGCGGAGGTTGTGGTGAGCTGAGATTATGCCATTGCACTCTAGCCTGGGCAACAAGAATGAAACTCCGTCTTGAAATAAATAAATAAAATAAAATAAAATAAAAATGCTGCTACAAAATTGACTTGTTTGTTGATTTTGACAGATCTGATCCCATTGTTATTTTCTTACTTTGGTCTTTCAGTGAGCAAGACTGGAGAATTTTTTTTCTTTGTCTCTAAATTATAATAGTTTTACAAGGGTATGTCACAAAATTCAGGAAATTCCAACTCAATTATTCCAGGAACCCAGTGAACCTTTTAGTATGTAGATGTAAGTCTTTTAGTTCAAGAAACTTTTCTTTGATTACAGTTTTTTTTTCCTAACTCAATTCTATTTAGGAATAATTTACATACATTAAGATTCAACTGTTTAAAATGAGAGTTTGAT
The DNA here is from genome assembly GCF_000001405.40 of Homo sapiens. NCBI lineage: Eukaryota > Metazoa > Chordata > Mammalia > Primates > Hominidae > Homo > Homo sapiens. The sequence goes on along the minus strand of NC_000008.11, from coordinate 35,077,206 downwards.
GACTTTTGATAAATGTATATGTTTTGTTACCCACATAAACACTACCACATCAAGATATAGGACTTTCTTATGCCTCAAGGAAATGCCCTTCCACTCCATTTCAGTTAATCCCTTTCCCCAAGCATCTATCTTACCACCCATGTGATAGCCCCAAGCAATCACTGATTTGATTTCTATCACTACAGGTTAGACTTTTCTGGAATTTCATATAAGTTAATCATACAATATAAACATATTGTGTGTGATATCATACAGGGTTCATGTAGGGTGCCTTGTTTCTGTTTTATCTTGCTTCTCTTTCTCAGCATGATTTTGGAATTTATCCATACTGTTTTATGTGTTCGTAGTTTATACCTTTTTATTGACATGTAGTATTCCATTGTATGTATATACCACAAATTTAAGAATTTAGCCTTTGATAGATACTCGTGTTGTTTTACGTATTAGCTTTTGGAAACAAACCTTCTGTAAACATTTGTGAACAAGTTTTTTGGTGTACATGTTTTTGTTTCTCTTGGACAAATAAGAGAGGAATTGTTGGATCATCGGGTAAATGTGCATTTAATGTTTTGTTTTGTTTTGTTTTGTTTTGAGATGGAGTCTCGCTGTCTCGCAGCCTGGAGTGCAGTGGCGCGATCTCGGCTCACTGCAAGCTCTGCCTCCCGGGTTCACGCCGTTCTCCTGCCTCAGCCTCCCGAGTAGCTGGGACTACAGGCGCCTGCCACCACTCCCGGCTAATTTTTTGTGTTTTTAGTAGGGACGGGGTTTCACCGTGTTAGCCAGGATGGTCTCAATCTCCTGACCTCTTGATCCTGTCGCCTCGGCCTCCCAAACGGCTGGGATTACAGGCGTGAGCCACTGTGCCCGGCCATGTGCCTTTAATTTTATGAGAAACTGCCAAACTGCTTTGCAAAGCTCTTGAACAATTTTATATTACCAACAATAGCATATGAGTGTTTTGTGTGCTCTACTTCCTTGCAACACTGTATATTCATTTTTTTGTTTGTTTTTTACTTCAGCCATTGTACTAGTTGTGCAGTAGTAGCTAATTGTTATTTTCTTTTGAATTTCCTTGATGATAAATGATGTCGAACACCTTTTTATGTGATTATTGACTATTCATATAGCTTCTTTAGCAAAGCTACTGTTTAAATCTGTTGCCAGTTTTGGGAAAACCTGTTTGTCTTAATATTATTAATCTATAAAAGTTTTAAAATGATATTTTCTGAAAACAACTTCTTTATCAGATATACATAATAGTGAATATATATATATATATATATATATATATATATCTTGTGATATATATTGTGAATATTTTTATCCTCAACTGTGATAGCCTGTCAATTTTCCTAGGAGTAACTTTCGAAAGGCAGACATTTTAAAATTTGATAAAATTCACTTTATCGATTTTTTATTTTATCCTTAGTTGTTTAGTAGGTTGTGTCTAGAGAATGTGAGCTTACCTAACCCATGGTCAAAAAGATGGTCTCCTATGTTATCTTCTAAAATTTTTATAGTTTGAATTTTTACAATAGATCTATACATTATTTTGAATTAATTTTGTCTATGATGTGAAGTTCATTGAACTTTTTTACGGATGGATGTCCAGTTGTTCAAGCACTACTGGCTGAAAAGTTAATCCTTTCTCCTATGGAATTACCTTGGTGCCTTTGTTAAAAATCAATTGCTCGTAAATGTGTGGATCTATTTCTGGACTCTCTTTTCTGTTTCACTAATCTAAATATTTTTTCCTTAGGCTAAAATTCACTCTATTACTCTTGCTTTAATATCTCTCAAAATCAAGTAGTCTATCAATTAACTGTTCTTCCCTATCTAGCGAATTATTACTTTCTTTATGTTATAGGATTTTCAGTTATATAATGGCATTTTGTCTACTGATGGTCCTTATTTGTTGACTCACTTTTATCATTTTTCCTCTAATTCTTTGAATATTTATCTTTTAATTCTTTGAATATATTTGTAATATAAGCTTTGAAGTTTTGATCTACTATATCCCACAGTGGCTCTTGTTCAGAATGTTTTCATTGACTGCTCTTTCTCCTCTGAATAGGTCATACTTACTTTTTATTTTTATTTTTTTCACATGTCTCATGATTGTCATTGTTAAGTAAATATTGTAGATAATATAATATAGTAATTCTGTTATGTTCTTTTGGAGAGTGTTGGCTTTTTATTCCAGTAGTTAATTTGCATGGACTCAAACTGAAAAGTTATCTCCCTCACAAAATGAAGAAGTTGATATCTCAGTTTTGCTCTTAAGATTTCCATCTAATGCTTTTAAGCTAGGTACACTTAGTGGTCTTGTGTGTGTTTTCATAATTGGTCGTCAGCCAAGGAATTAGGCAAGCTCTAATCTCCGCCTCCTCAACTCAGTTTAGCCCACAGGACTCTGCTACCCCAAATGGGAATAATTATAAGGCTCACCTCATTCTCTTTCCTCATAGGTCACAGTCCTTCACTACCTGATCTCCAATGTTGGAAAACAATTCTTGTTTATATTTTCTTCAGTGTTGTTGAGGCAGGATTGCTAGTTTGAGCCTTGTTTATTCATTGTGGCCAAAAGTAGAACTCTGGATTACAATTAAATGTACAGTCTTTGTTACATTGTTTAATAATATTCTTCAGGGACTCCAGTTACTGTTATGGTAGATCTTCTTTGCCTGTATACCATTTTAATCCCTTTCTTTCTGACTCTTTTTTTGTCCTTTATCTCCTCTTTTTTTTTTCATTACTTTTGTTAACCCGTCCCTATTTAATTCTTCCTACCAATTTTCATTTAACTCTATTCTTGATTAATTGTCTTTCACCTTAATTTTCATGTATGTCTTTTTCTTTAACTTTTAGTAACTGCTGTCAGTTCATTTCCTTTTTTGCTGTTTTATCTATTTTTGTTTTTAAATTTTGAATTAATTATATAAGCATGATCTTGAAATGATCTTTTGTAGGATATTTTATTTAGTTTGAGTGTTGTGCTATAATTTTTTTCTACTTTAAGATTGTTTTTTGAGGGAGATTTTTATCAGATACATTGTTTATCATTTTCTGTTTTTCTTACATAGTATCATTATATGGAAATAGGCTAATTTTATTCTATCCTTTTGATAAATTCTGTTTGTATTTCAAAACCACTTTTTGTTCTGTTAGTTTCATAAAGTTACTTTTTTAATGAATAACTTTTATGTCGGTGGTGATGATGAGGGAAAAGAATTTATGTTTCTTGTTTTTTTCATTTTTTCAAGAGCCTTATTTTTTTCCTCTTAATTCTTGATTTGGCTTCACTACTACAGCTTAAAATGATGTCTCCTCCTTCCTACTTACCTTCTTCTCCCCCTAGATATAATGTTTTCCCATGACTGCCATCTCAGACACATATATTTTCAAATCTTTTAACTATAGCTCATACTTTCAACCAACAGGTTTCTGACCTGTGTTCTGTGTTGGATTTTTCTTTGTGTGGTGAATTTGTGTTTGCTGTGTATATGTTTCTTTTTCTGTGTTCCACTTTTCCATGCAGTCTCTTTAGACTCAGCACCGTTCCCCATATCCAATGTCATGAAGTGACAGCGAGAAGTCTAATGGTATCTCTGTTGGCATTTAATGTTGATTTGTCTATGTACAGGTGATTTAAAACTTTTGTTCTCTAACTTGTAATAATGTTGAAGCTATGTGTTTTATGTGAATTTTATTTGCACTTCTTTGTTCATCTGTATGTTATTATGCAGGCTATGTGGACCACTTCTAATTTACACAGCCACCTTTATAATAGAGTTAACTGGCATTATCTATATTTTCAGTGTTTTCAAAGTTTTTGTCCAGGCTGGAGTGCAATGGCATAAACATAGCTCACTGTTGCCTTGAACTAGGGTCAAAGGAGCCTCCTTCCTCAGCCTCCTGAGTAAATAGGACTACAGGTGCACACCACCACACCTGGCTAATTTTTATAGGTTTGTTTTTTTTTTTTTTTTTTTGGTAGAGACTGGGTCTCACTGTGTTGCCCAGCCTGGTGTTGAACTCCTGAGCTCAAATGATACTTCGACCTTGGCCTCCCAAAGTGCTGGGATTACAGGTGTGAGCCACCATGCCCTCCTATACTTATAAACTTTATAATATATTTAATCGAGTAGTTTCTCAAATTTCAGCAAGATACTTATTAAATTATCTCAAGTCATTGCAACATTGGGAATAAGATAAATAAATGAATCCTAACTGACAAAAATAAGATAAATTTGAAGCATTTTAAATATTCACACATAAAAATATAGAGCTTAAAATCATGTCAACCATGAAAGAAGTTTAAAGTTTAAGATCAAAGGCTTTTTTTATTTCTGGCTCTGTTCTATCTGATGTCTTAATCAATAACTTGAGTAAAGGTTTAAAAGACATTTGTTTCAGATTTTTAAATGAGAAAACTTGGAAAAGGTACCAATAGTTTGATTATAGCAATAACATTCAAAAAGAATTTTAAGAGGACGGAAAAAATGGATTAAAACCCACCAAACTAACTTAGCACAATGCATTTAGATAAAAAAATCAATTGCATGAATTTAAAATGTGATGAACCTGGCTGTTAGAAATTCATGTGTAAAGTATCTGATGTTTCTAGTTAACTGTGAACACAATAAAAATCAACAATGTGATACATCTGCATAAAAAGGCTAATACAGTATTAAGTTTTGCTAGTAGGCTATTGTGGGCTGAGCACATATGAAGTGCATTTGAGTATGGATTTTGCTAGATACCCAAAGATTTTGAAGCCATGTCATTAAAAAATCTTTGTGATTTGTTAAGTTTAGTTTGGGGGTAGATAGCTTATGATATTTGAGAGGGAGTAAATTAATTCAGTGGTGGCTCTTGAGGATAGGCATAGGACTAACAACTGGAGATGATTATGATAACTGATTTATGCTTAGTATAAACAAGTGCTGCTAAATTATTAAATTAACTCAATCACAATAAGCATGTTATATGAATTCCATAAGCTCCCATTACTGTAGATTACTAAACAATGGCTGCTTATAGTTAGTAGAGCACATGCCTGCTTAATGTGGGAGGTTGCACATAGGTGGCTTCTAAGATCTTTTTCCACTTTAAAATTATTCAAGTTGATAAGACTATATGTTTACATAAAATAGAGAATAAAATAAAAAATGTGTTTGGAAGTCTATACCTAAACCTAGAAATGAAACTGGTAAGAAATTGCTATCTTCCTACTTCCTTTCTAGTTGCATAGGCAGCTATGGTCAAACTTCTTAGACATTCAGAAAGTCACTCATAAAATTAATGGAAGAAGATATTTCAGTTTAGCTTCAACGTGGAAGTTGCTACACATGCAGAGGCCAATAGGGATAAAATGAATTCCTAACAGTGATAAAATGCCAGCTTTTCCCTCCAGAAGAACACATATCAGAACTTTGAGGAGAGATAATGTACTGACAGTGTAGACCTGGCTAAAGGAGAGATGCCATGTTTGGGATTGTAATTACCTGTAGAAGAGATTTTCAGATGTTTTTTTCTTTCTTTTTTTGTAGAGACAGGGTTTTGCTCTGTCAGCCAGGCTGGCATGCAGTGGCATGATCATAGTTCACAGCAACCTTGAACTCCCGGGCTCAAGGAATCCTCTGCCTCAGCCTTCTGAGTAACTGGAACTACAGTTACATGTCACTGCAACTGGCTAATTTATTTTATTTTATTTTTTTGTAGAGATGGGGGTCTCACTTTTTGGCCAAGGCTGATCTTGAGCTCCTAGCTCTAAGTGGTCTTCCTGCCTTGGTCTCTCAAAGTGCTGGGATTACAGGTGTGAGTCACCATGCCTAGCCTAGAGTGTTTGTTTCTTTGAAACAGCAAGAGCTTCTTGGAATTTTATATATTACGAACTAGATAATTAGAATTATAAAATAAAGTTGCCAAGGGCTTACTACTTCATCTGAACTTTTAGAAAGTAGAGATAAATTGAAAATGTTATGCAATTGCCTGTCAAAAACTGAAAAATCTGATATTTTATCCTACTTTTAAGCAAGTAAGCAATTACCTTGCCACAGATTCATGAATTCTGCCAAAGACACATGACATCTGAGTTAGAGACAAAGGACAGTGAATTACTCACAGCACTAGCAGTAGCTAAATAACCAGTCTTTTCTTGCACTAGAAGAACCCTAATCCTCAATTCTCACCGGGTGAAACGAAGAAGGCCAGGTGACACCTGTACATGTAATGGATTGCATCACAGAAGATAAAACCTGGAACACAGAAAACCTGAATCCTTTACACTAAGTACTAAGAAAATCTGCTCTTTGGCCTGGAGGAAGACATTATCTCTATCTTCCAAGGATGTTTGTTATAGAAATATTCTTGAAAATATAGCTCAGAACAAAAGCAGTTGGTGCCTCTGTTGCAAGGCATGCAGAATAAAAGAGACTTATAGAGAGTTGTCTCTCAACATTGTAATCTCATAGCTGATTTTTTAAAAATTTTACTTTAAGTTCTGGGATACATGTGCAGAACATACAGGTTTGTTACATAGGTAGTATACACGTGCCATAGTGGTTTGCTGCACCTATCAACCCGTCATCTAAGTTTTAAGCCCTGCATGCATTAGGTATTTGTCCTAATGCTCTCCCTCCCCTTGCCCCCCATCCCCCAACAGGCCCTGGTATGTGATATTCCCTCCCTGTTTCCATGTGTTTTCATTGTTCAACTCCCACTTGGTGTTTGGTTTTCTGTTCCTGTGTTAGTTTGTCATAGCTGATATTATAAAGCCACTATTCCACTGAAAATCAGAGATAGAAAAAGAGAGTGATCCAGATGACAAAGAAAGAAAAACTAAAGATCCTGGCCAAACAAAGTTATAGCCTTAGCCTCATTTGGTAAGTATTGTTACTAATTTCTAGGAAGAAAGAATTAGGCCTTACAACCAGAATCATGTAGGTATTACTGTACCTCAAATTACACTCCTCTCTTTTTCTCTTTTCTATATACACATATGCTAATAAAGCCATCCTATTATGGATACTAATGTATTTTGAATTAATCCTTTTGTCTCTTTTCGGTTCCAATGTTCAAATGTTCCTCACATATTGTGGATCGTTGGTTGTCTCAACCAGCTGAACCTCAGGTGACAATTGTCAACAAGATTCTCATGCCAAGAATTGGCAGAACTAGTAAGAAAAATGTAATTTTTAAGCTTAATTGATTGAAAGCATCATTACAAAGTGATAGATTGGTAGATATACACATATATAGACAGATTAGATAGATAGATATAGATAGATAGATAGAAGATAGATATAGATAGATAGATAGATAGATAGATAGATATAGATATCTAGATACCTACATAGACAGAAAGAAAGAAGATTCTGGATGCCCTCTTACAAAATTCTGTTTGAGTAGGTGAGGGGTAGGTCCAATAAACCTACTTTTGAAATAAGCAACCTAAGTGACTTTCATGCAGCTGCATTTGAACAACGGTTTGAAAGCTAGTGCTATAGGCAGCATCATCTTATCAAGTCTTATTGAGCCGGATATTTCCAAAACATATTAAAATGGCAAAGTGCTATGTGAATGAAAAGGCATTGATGCATTATTACTGGAAACTACTTTTTCAACATTATCAAACTCTGTCTGAATGGATTACCCTAAGGACAGTGGAAGTGGGGTCACAGAGAAGTAAAAGTGGGAAGAGGATCCAGAAGACTTCCAATTGAGCCTTTTTAAAATTATAATAGAGTGCCTATAGTGAAGTTCACCATCATTAGTGCAGAGTTATTGACATAATGTAAGTTATGTGACATAGGTAATGTTTTATTTCATACCTGAAATTGCCATTGGTAAGTTAGAAGGAATTTCTTCTTTCCAATATTTACTTTGCCTAATCACTGACCAGTTTGTACAAATTGGAATCAAATAAGTGATACAAGTCCATCCTTCATTTTGCAATCTGGAATCAGACTAAAGTGTTGACTGATATCACTCCCTTTTTACCTGAAGAACTCAGAGCTCTCATCTGGAGAATTCTAGTGAGGCAAATGATGTTTTGTTAGTAACATTTCAATATACAATGTCATGGCTGTAGGTCTAGAGTTCTAATAGTTTGCAAAGACAACAAGAATACATCTTAGGCAGCGAGATTAGAGCCTTTTGAACCCTTCTTTCAGATTCTCACTTTTGTGCCCTGTTAAAGTGAATAATCATGTGGATTTTTTCATAAGTAGTGCTGTAGTCTTTGCTGCAGTTTGCATCTGCTCTCTAGCAAGAAATGGAATTGAAAAAGGTAAATGAAATTTTGTTGCAGTTTTTCCTTGTAGATATTTTATATTTGAATGTAAAATAATTAGGAAAATGGATTTCTAATTTTACCCAAGGAGGGCCAATTATGCTGAATGCATAGAGGGAAATACTTGTAAAAGTAATTTTTTAATTTACATTTTCTTTTTGTCTTAATATTTTATTTTAAAACATTTCAAACATAGAGAAATACAAATGTGTTCAATGAATACCCATATATCCACCACATAGGTGCCATAGTTAACTTTACCATATTTACTTTCTCACATAACTATTCATCTATCTGTCCCATTGTTTATCCACAAATCCACCTAAATGAATTAATGCATCTTAAAGTAGGTTGTATACAGTAAACAAATATTAAATTCTAGTTAATGATATGCATGCTGAAACGTTAACAACCTATAAATACTTAAGCATGTATATCATTAACTAGTGCTCAATATTTATTTTTAGTTTTTCAGGTAAAATTTTTACATAATGAAATGCACAATTTTTAGCATACCATTCGATGGGTGTGACAACTGCATATAACTCTGGAAACCAAGTACCTTTCCAGATATAGAACATTTCCATTAATCTGGAATGTTTCTCCCTGCTCCTTCCTTATCAATACTTAAACAGGTGCAACCACTTATCTGATTTTTTTCCACCATAGATTAGATTTTTCTGTTCTGGAACTTTATATAAGTGAAATCATACCTTCTGTGCTCTCTTATGAAAGGCATCTTTCTTTCAGCTTAATATATTGGAGATTAATCTGTGCTTTCTTAATCTAGTAATTTTTGGTGAAATTTACATTTAAATTGGTGAAATTTGAGGAAGCAGATTGCCCTTCATAATGTGGGTAGACCTCATCCAATCAAGTGAAGGTCTGAGTTGGACCAAAGATCGGCCTTCTGAGCAACAGAGAATTTTCCTTCATGCTGTCTTCAGAGTACATCTTTACCATCAGGTCTTCTGGGTTTCCAGCCTGTTAGTCCACAATGCAGATTTGGACTCTGCAGCCCCCAATTCCTTAAAATAAAGGTTTTTCTATATAAAAAAGCTTTTTGTTCTGTTTCTCTGAAGAACTCAGATGAATACATCCATAAATGAAATTACTGCATCTTATATGCTTTTTATATACTATAAATGCCTATGATTTTAAAAATCAACAGGTACAAAGTGTGTCCAGTGAAAAATAAGTCTCTATATCATCCTAAACTTCATTGGTGCCCTAGGGTCCCCTTCTTAGACAACTACTTTTTCTTTATCTTTTTATGCCACTCTGATGGAATGTTATTTTTTTTTCTGAATCTTCCAAGATAACTCTACATTTTACATACTTTTCATTCTCATGAAAAAAAAAACACCTTAGTCTAAGTGAGCAGAGTCTAATTATCAATTATTATCAGGAACACATTCAGAAATCTCTTTTTACTTCATTTGTAGGAATGTAGGAAATTGGTGGCAAATATATTTACAGTTCACATGGATTCATGGCCATTCCTTTCTGCAGTTTTAATTAGAAGACTGATCTCCACTCCTACTCTGAAAATGGGCTTGCCTTAGATCCAAGTTTCACATTCATAGACAATTACTATTAGTATGATTTTATGTCTATAGAGTAAAACTCTATTCATACTTAAACCCCCCCACACAAAACAATTGTAAAATGTGCATTGTTTTTTACTACCTGGACCTCCTCATATGAGGATGTAATTAAAAAATATGTACTTACTTATTATTTCCACTTATAATAGAGAAATTTAAACTTAAAAACTTAAAATATATACCAGTTTATTATAATATATTTATAATGTGTGTCTACCACTGCTTCTTGTACACACAAGAAGTGTTTACTGAGGTCACATTAAATGTCAGGTGTTTTACATATGTTACTTAATCTAATTCATGAAGTCGACCACAAATTAGCATTTCATTCAATAAATATTTAGTGATTGTCTGCTATTTGCCAGACACTATTCTAAGTGCAGCAGTGAAAAAAAGAGACAAAAATTATTATTTCCTATTTTACTGGAAGGAAACAGGTAAATATAAGTAAATAAGTAAATAATATACTATGATAAAAGGTGATAAATCTCAGGAGGGAATATTAAACAGTGCAAGAAGGAAAAAGAGTGCTTTCTGGAGATGGGTGTGATATTGTTTTGAAAAGATGATATTTGAGTTAATTTTTGAAGGAGTTGAAGGAATATGCTGTATAGATATCTGGGGGAAGAGTTTCAGTCAGAGGGAACGTCCAGTGGAAAGGCCATGAGGTGAGAATATGCCTGGTATTTTTGAAGAAAAGTGAAGAGTCAAATATAGTTGTAATTAATTTTCTTTTCTCTTAGTAGACTAAATTTGCTATTTATTTCAGGGAGTGAGGGTCACAGCAGTAGCAGATGATGTTGAGAAAGAAAAGAATGTCCAGAGAAAGAACCTCATTATATAATAAGAGTAAATAAAAACTTTGTCAGAAAAAAATCTGAGACAACTTCTTGCCAAGAGATGTGTACTGTAAGATATATTAAAAGAAGATTTTCAGGTAGAAGAAAAACATCATAGACAAAATTGTTGAACTAGAAAAGAAATAAAGAGCTTTGGAAATGGCAAAAAGAAATAATTTCCTTTTCAAGTAGGCTGTTATTAGTGTGGAAAATGCAGCTGATTTTTCCATGTTGATTTTGTATCCTGCAACTTTACTAAATTCATTTATTAATTCTAACAGGTTTTCTTCAAAATCCCCAGGATTTTTCACATACAGGATCATGTCGTTTGCAAACAGAGATGGTTTAATCATTGCATTCTGATTTGAATGCCTTTTTTTTCTTGTCTGATTGCTCTGGATAGTACTTCCAGTACTATGTTAAATAGAAGCAACGAGAGGAGGCATCCTTGTCTTGTACTGGATCTTAATGGAAAAACTTTCAGTTGTTTCTTGTTGATTATGCTGAGTTTTTCCATAAATTGTCTTTATTATGTTGAAAAACTTTTCTTCTATATCTAAACTGTTGAGAGTTTTTGTAATGAAAACGATATTAGATTTTGACTAATGCTTTTTCTGCATCCACTAAGATAATCATGTTGTTTTTATCTTTCATTTTGTTAATGTGATGTGTCACATTGATTAATGTGCATATGTTAACCCTGGCTTTCATGTCAGGGTTAAATCCTTTTTGCCATGATATATAATCTTTTTGATGTGTTTTTAAATTTGGTTTGGTAAACTTTTCTTGAGAATTTTTGCATCAATATTCAGAGAAAATGGCCTGTAGTTTGCTTTCCTTGTATTATCCTTGTCTGTCTTATGTATGAAGGTGATGCTGGCCTCATAAAATGCATCTGAAAGTATTCCTTATAACTGTATATTTAGAAAGAGTTTAAGAAGAATTGGTATTATTCTTATTTGAATGTTTGGTGGAATTCAGCTGGGAAACCATCTTGTCCTGAGCTTTTCTTTGTCAGCAAGTTTTTGAATACTTCTTCAATCTTTTTGTTTGTTATTTGTCTTTTCAGGCTTCTTATTTCTTCCTCAGTCGATCTTGGTATGTTGTATTTCTCTAGGAATTTATCCATTCACTCTAGGTTATCCAATTTGTTAGTATGTATTTGTTCAAAATATTGCCTTATGATTCTTTTATTTTTTATTTATTTGAGTTTTCTCTTTTTTTTCTTAGACTAGCTGTTTGTCAATTTTCATTAGTTTTTTTGGAAAAGAACTCAATGTTATTTATTTTTTTCTGTTCTCCATTTTATTCTATTTCTGTTCTGACTTTTTTTTTTATTTTTTTTTTACCTTTTTTCTGCTAATTTTGGGTTTAGTTTGTTCTTTTTCTGGTTCCTTGAAGTGTAATGTTAGACTATTGATTTGGTATTTCTTTAATTTTTAATGTAGGCATTTATTGCTGTTGTGTGTCTCATGATGTATCAAGATATTTGTAAGTTTACTTTTTGATTTCTTCTTTGATCCATTTGGTTGTTTAGAAGAATGTTGCTAATTTCCACATATTTGTAAAATTTCCATTATTTCTCCTGTTATAGATCTCTAGTTTCATGCCACTGTGGTTTGAAATGATGCTAGATATGATTTCAGTCTCCTTAAATTTGTTAAGACTTCTATTGTGGCCTAACATATGGTTGATTCTGGAGAATGCTTCCTGTCCATTAAAGAAAAATGTGTACTCTGCTGCCATTGGATGAAAATATTACACATCTGTTTGGCCTATTTAGTCAAAAATGCAATTCATGTCCAATATTTCCTTATCATTTTTCTGTTTTATTGATTTATTCTTTGTTCAAAGTGGGGTATTGAAGTCCCCTAGTATTATTCTATTGTTATCTATTTGTTCCTTTATGCCCACTAATGTTTGCTTTGTGTATTTTGGTGCTCCAATGTTGGGTGCTACTATATTTAAAATTGTTGAATTGATTTTTTATCATTAAATAATTACCTCCTTTGTCTTTGCTAAAAGTTTTTGACTTAAAATCTACATTATCAGATATAAATTAGCCACTTCTGCTCTCTTGTGGTCACCATTTGCATGGGATATTTTCTATCCTTTTACTTCCAGCATATGTGCCGGTAAGCTTAAGTCTCTTGTTGGCAGCATATACTTGGATCTTGTTTGTAAATCCACTCAGCTACTCTGCCTTTTGATTGGAAAATTGAATCCATTTATATTCAAGGTTGTTATTAATAGGTATGGACTTAGTCCTGCCATTTTCAATTGCTTTCTCATTGTTTTGTAGCTCTTTTGTTTCTTTTTTCCTTTCTTGTTTACTTTGCCAATTGGTAATTTTATCTAGTGTTAAGTGTTGATTCCTACAACTTCATTATTTATATATCTCCTATAGTTTTTGTTTTGTGGTTACCATGAGGCTCACATAAAACGTCTCATAATCAATTATTTTAAGCTGATAACTTCTGTCATATGCAAAACTCTAGACTTTTACTGCCCACCCCAAATTTACGTATTTGATGAGACAACAATTCACATTCTTTAATATTGTGTATTTCTTAACTTATTTTGGGGCTTTAGTGATTTTTATTATTTTTGTTTTTTAATTTTTTATGTATTTTATTTTTGAGACAGAGTCTCACTCTGTTGCCCAAGCTGGAGTGCAGAGATGTGATCTCGGCTCACTGCAACCTCCTCTTCCCAGGCCCAAATGATTCTCATGCCTCACCCTCCTGAGTAGCTGGGATTACAGGCATGTGCCACCATGCCCAGCTAATTTTTATATTTTTAGTAGAGATGGGGTTTTACCATGTTGGCCAGGCTGGTCTCGGACTCCTACCCTCAAGTGACCCACCCGCCTCGGCCTTCTAAAATTCTGGGATTATAGGCATGAGCCACTGCACTTGGCCTTGGCTTTAGTAATTTTTGACAGCTTTAACTTTTAACCTTCATAGTAGAGATATGTATGATTTACACACCACCATTACCATATTGAAATATTGTGAATTTGACTGTGTATTTACTTCTACCAGTGAGTTTTATACTTTTATATGCAATCATGGTAGTAACTATCATTCTTTCTTTTCTGCTTGAAGAACTCCCTTACACATTCTTGTAGGGAAGATCTAGCAGAGATAAATTTCTTTAGCTTTTGCTTGTCTGGGACATTGTTTTTTCTTTATATCTGAAGAACAGTTTGCTGGATGTACTATCCTTGGCTGATTTTTTTTTTTTTAATTTCAGCACTTTGAATATGTAATACCACTCTCCAATGGCCTGCAAAGTTCCCGCTGAGAAATCTGCTGATAGTCTAATGAGACTTCCCTGAGACTTTTCTCTTGCTGCTTTAACAATTCTTTCCTTTTCTTTAATGTTTGAAACTGATTACAACCATCCTTGGTGAAAATGTCTTTGGGTTGTATCTTTTTGGGGGCTTCAAGTTTCGTGGCTATGAATGTTTAAATCTCTCCTAAGACTTGAGAAGTTTTTAACAATTATTTCATTAAATAAGTTTTCTGTGCCTTTCTTGTCTCTACAACTGTGTGAAATCAGGAATGAATGTTCAAATATCTCCCAAAACTTGGGAAGTTTTTATCAATTATTTCATTAAATAAGTTTTCTGTCCCTTTCTATTTCTCTTCTCCTGTGTGAAATCACATAATGTGACTATTTGCTTAATGGTGTCCCATAAGTTGTATAGGCTGTCTTCACTGTTTTTCATTTTTTTCCCTCTGACTGAGTCGTTTCAAAATACCTATCTTCAAGAGACAGATTCTTTCGTCTGCTTGATCTAGTCTGGTGTTGAAGCTCTCTATTGTATTTTTTTTTTTTTTTTTTACTTTATTGGTTAAATTCTTTGGCTCTAAGATTTCTGGTGGGTTTTTGTGTGTGTGTGTAAATAATATCACTTTGTTGAATTTCTCATTCAGATTGCAAATTGTTGTCCTGATTTTGTTAACTTATCTGTTTGTATTATCTTGCATCTGACTGACTTTCCTTCAGATCATTATTTTGAATTCATTTTCAGACAATTCATAAATTTGTATTTCTTTGTGGACAGTTACTAGAAAATGCTTGTGTTCCTTTGCTGGTGTCATATTTCTTTGCTTTTTCATTTTCCTTGTGTCCCTGCATTAGTATCTGTGCATCTGGGTCCATTAATCTCTTTTGAACTTTACAGAGTGGCTTTGGTAGGGGAATACTTTCACCTGAAGATGTGCCTGAGCATGCTGATTGGATAGGGTGTGTTGACGCTTGTTCCATATAGGACAATGTGTCGTCTCTGTGTAGTTTATTCCATTTTGATCAATATCAACAATGGCTGTGGTGCCTCAGTGATCTAGGCTGCAGGAATTGGTGGCAGTGACAGTGGCTGGACTTATTACTGGAGAAAAGGCTTCGGGGATCTTCTTGTTCTTGTCTTCCCAATAGTAGGAGTTTTAGATAAGAAGATCTTTCTTGGTGTCAGCCCACAAGCAGCCATGGCAGAACTGGGGTCTAGGGAACAGGTTCTGAAAGCAGCTGTGGAGCCAAGTTCCTGGGCTCTGGATTATACAACTACTGTAGTACCTAAGGTGCGTGTTAACTTTCCAAGACATGAGTAGATGCAGTTCTTTCATAAAGCTAGTGTCTGTTTCTCCGAGGGACATTCCAACAGCTACAGCCCTGAAGGCTGGGGTGTAGTTGTGATTCAGACCACTGGGAGCAGGGTGCTTTGCCATGGCACTGGGGAAGAAGGAGTGCTTTGGAGGCTTTGTACCTGGGGAACAAGGCACAGCTGCAATTCAAGACCTGGGACTAACAGGTCACAGTGGCAACTTGGGCTCTGGGGAATAAGGTACCATGCAGTGGTGACTCTGGATCCTGGGATAATGGTACACAAAAACAGTACTGGCTTTGTAGGGCCAGGTACAACAACAGGTTGTAAATGAAGAAATAAAAAAACTTTCTATTTGGCCAGGCATGATGGCTCACACCTGTAATCCCAGCACTTTGGGAGGCCAAGGCAGGTGGATCACCTGAGGTCAGGAGTTTGAGAACAGCCTGGCCAACATGGCAAAACCCCATCTCTACTAAAACTACAAAAAAATTACCTAGGCATGGTGGCAGACACCTTTAGTCCCAACTACTCAGGAGGCTGAGGCATGAGAATCACTTGAACCTGGCTGGCAGAAGTTGGCAGAGGGTCGAGATTGTGCCACTGCACTCCAGCCTGGGCAACAGAGCCAGATTTTGTCTCAATAACAAAACAAAACGAAACAAAACATCCCTGTCTATTTACAAATAATATAATTGTTGATACAGAAAACGTCATATAATGCACCAAAACTTAAACTATTTGGAGTATTGCAAAGTTGTAGGATACAAGGTTAACACACAATAATAATCATTTGCATTTTATATATAGAAATAAAAATTTGGAAATTTAAAAAGTACCATTTAAAATACAATTAATCTTTTTTTATTTTTATTTTTTTCAACTGTTTTTCAAGATGGCAGATAAGAAGCAGTGTAGTGTGTCTTTCCCACTTGGAAGGACAGAATAGTGGGTAGAGATTCACACTGTGAATTTGTTTTCCAAGAAACATGACAGGAACTTACCAGGAAAACTAAAAGAATTCACAGACCCTTCAAAAGAAGTAGAAGGCTGCAGCCTATTCCATAAGACAGGAGAGAAACTCTAAACAAAATAGTCATAAACTTTTGGGAGCTTATGGCCCCGTCCATCACTTGAGAAAGTAGAATACTTCCCCTGGACAACACAGGGCAAGTTCAAATCGCACTGCTACTACACAGCTGGTGCTCTCTTGCAAGCACCATCTTCCGGCTAAAGGTCAAGAAACTCAGACCATTACAACACCTCTTGGCAGAATAACACTGTACCCAGGAAGGAGAAAACAGCTGCGGGATCTCAGCTAACACTACTACTTGCAACACCTCGGCTAACCAAAGGTCCTGAGTCTGTCCACCTGACAAGTTTACTAATAGCATAGCATTCGAGAAAGCCAGCACACTAAGCCTATCTACACCCAAGGAATCTCACAGAGTCTATGTCTCTTCCCTGCCACCTCCATTAGAGCATCTGCTGGTATCCACCTCTGGGAGACCTGAAGACAGGTCACATCACTGGATCTTTTGCAGACATTTCTCAGCCTGGAGTCATATAGCCCCACTGGGTGGCTACACCCAGAAGAGCAATCACAATCACTACAGTCCAGCTCATAGTAAGCCCCATTCCTATATGAAAGGGGAGAGCACCACATCAAGGGAACACCTCATCGTACAAAAGAATCTGAACAGCAGGCCTAACGCCCCAGATCTTTCTGCTTGTGGGAAGTTTTCTACAGCAGAGCACAATTGCTGTGTTGAGCACAGTATGGAAAGTCTGCTTCTCTACCCCAACGGTCTCTGTGATTGTGAACGGCCTTGGAGAAGGGGTCCTTGTCCCTGCTGGTAGACCACTGCAAACACAGCTGGGACTTGTCCCATGGGAATGCAGCTTGGGTGCACTTATGGACAGCCTTCCTGGAATAATTCACAGTGACTGCAGCCCCACAGAAGGAGCACTCCCCAGATTCAGGCCTGCACAAGAGGCAGAGTCACAATTCCTCTCCACTTGAAACATGGCATTTCCGCAGATGAAAAGAGGTGCCTGTCTGATCTGAATAGCTGGAACACTGGGAGAAGCATGAGGCTGTGAGGTGAATAGCTTTCCTCCTGGCCTGGAAGGGGATCTGAGGAAGCTCCCACTCTTCACCCTGATAAAACCTCAGCACATCAAATTGAAAGTGCCTCCATCTACCTTTGTCAAGGCTGGGACCTCTGCCCACCACTGAGTATTACATCTACCCACCTGCCTCAGCTACAACTGGTACCTCCCCCATTGGACTGAAGCTAGAGTCATCAACGCAGTAAATAAAATAGTGAAGAAAATAATAAATAAAGTGTATGCTATGAGAGAACGAGAGAAGCTTCAAGAGATCCCTGCCATTCTAACCCTATATGAGACAGTAAACTTGCCCACACACCAAGTGTGTGACACTGGTTTTCGCAAAGAATTCATAAGACCTTAAAAGCAAATGCAACAAAAACAAATAAATGGGACCTAATTAAATTAAAAAGCTTCTGCACAGCAAAAGAAATAATCAGCAGAGTAAACAGACAACCTACTGGGTGTGAGAAAATATTTGTAAAACTATGCATCTGGCAAATATCTAGAATCTACAAGGAATGCAAACAAATCAGCAAGAAAAAAGTAATCCCATCAAAAAGCGGACAAAGGATACGAATAGACATTCTCAAAAGAAGATATACAAACAGCCAAGAAACATAGGAAAAAATGCTCAACATCACTAATTATCAGAGAAATACAAATTAAAACCACAACGAAGTACCACCTAACTCCTGCAAGAATGGCCATAATTAAAAAGTCAAAAAATAATAGATGTTTGTGTGAATATGATGAAAAGGGAACACTTTTACACTGCTGGTGGTAAGGTAAACTAGTACAACCACTATGGAAAGCAGCATGGAGATTCCTTAAAAAACTAAAAGTAGAAGTACCATTGGTTCCAGCAATCCCACTACTGTGTGTCTACCCAAAGGAAAATAAGTCATTATATGTACAAGACACATAAACATACATGTCATTGCAGCACAATTTGCAATTGCAAAGATATGGAACCAACTTTAGTGCCCATTAACCAACAAGTGCATAAAGAAAATGTGGTATATGTACACCATGAAATACTACTCGGCCATAAAAAAGAATGAAATAGTGTCTTTTGCAGCAACTTGGAAGGAGTTGGAGGCCATTATTCTAAGTGAAGTAACTCAGGAATGGAAAACCAAATGTTGTACGTTCTCACTTGTAAGTGGGAGCTAAGCTATGAGAACTCAAATGCATAAGAACGACATAAAAAACTTTGGGGACTCAAGGAAAATGTTGAGACTGGGGTGAGAAATGAAAACTATATATTGGTTATAGTGTACACTGCTCAGGTGACAGGTGCACCAGAATCTCAGAAATCACCATTAAATAAATTATCCATGTAACCAAAAACCATCTGTACCGAAAAAATAAAAATTAAAATAAAAACAATAAAATACCATAATATCCCTAAAACTAAGGTGTAAATCTAATAAAATATGTGCAAGATTTGTATGCCATATCTACAAAACATTGCAAAGAGGAGTTAGATGAGGCCTAGATAAATGGAGAGATGTACTATGTTAATTGATTAGAAGATTCAATACTATTATAATGTCAACTCTCCCTAGATTCATCTATAGACTTAATCTCACCAGATGTTTTGTATACAGTGACAAACTGATTCTAGAATGTTTCTGGGAAAACAAAGGAACTAAAATAGTTGAAATAACTTTTTTTTAAAGAAAAAACTTAGAGGACTTATACACTACATGATATCAAGGCTTTCTGGTAAGTTTCAGTTGATGTGGTATTGGTAAAAACAGAGATATAGATTAATAAAACAATAGATCCAGAAATTGATCCAAACCCATATTATCACTGAGTTTGGCAAAGTGGGAGGCATAATTTTATAAAAATCTCCCAATCATTAAACCCTGTATAATCTTCACATCTTGAGTGTGGTAAAGACCTCCAAGTATCATGAGATATCACTCCCAATGTTATGTAATTTCATATGGCAACATTAGTGCTGAAATGATTGAACATCCTTATGCAAGGTAACGATTCTTGGAGGTCTGTTCCAAAATACTATAAAATTTTTAGAAGAAAACACAGGAGAAAATTTCTGTTACCTTGGTTTAGAAAAGAATCTTAAATGAAATAGGAACAGCTTGGATCATAACAGGAAAAAAAATCAATAAATTAGACTCAGAATAATTTTTTTTCTTTTCAAAAGATATAAAAAATGAAACCACAAGTCATAGACTTAGAGAAAATATTTTGCAAAATTCTTATCCACCATAAGGCTGTTTTACCAAATATGAAACTATACACTCAAATCTTATAATAAACTAATAACCCAATAATAAATGCACAAATGATTAAAATAGACATTTCAATAAAGAAGATATACAAAAGAAAAATAAGCATAAGAAAAATACCCAACATTATTAATTACTATGAAAATACATACTTAAACTACAATGTGATACCACTTATTTTCTCTTAGAATGGCTTTAAAGAAACTTGACAATTTCAAATGCTACAAGGGAATGGAGCAACTGGAACTCTCACATGTTCTTTTTGGGTATGCAAAATGTAATAGGGACTGTGTAAAACTATTTGGCAGTTTCCTAGAAAGTTAATCAAATACTTAATTCGTTATGCATCCTAATTGTAGTCTCAAGAGAAATGAAAACCTACATGTACACAAAATCCTGTACATAAATGTTTAAACAATTGTTATTCATAATTGTCAAACTGGAAACAACCCAAGTATCTAACAACTTGTGAATGGATAAACAATGTATATAGTACATTTATGTAATATAATATCAAAATAGATTATTACTCAGAAATCTTACATGCATTATTATAATTGGAAGAAGTCAGACACAAAAGTCACATACTGTGTTTTTTAAGGTATAAAATATTCTGAAAAATGCAAAATTAAAGGGACAGAAAAAAATTAGTTGTTTTCTGAAACTAGGAGTCTGCAAGGGGATTGACTTAAAACAGCATTGGGGGAAACACAATAGTCCTGATGACAGGACTATTCCTATACCTTGAATTGATATTCATCACTCAAGTATGTATTTGTCAAAATTCATAGAATTATACAATGGGTAAAATTTTTATGTTTGTAAATTTTACATCAATAAGTCTGACTTTCAGAAAAAAAAAAATAGAGACAACTACTGCCCTGGAAAAATCTATCTGTTGTAACTGGAGTTTATTGAAGGTTTACAACTTCCAGGGAAAAGCTTGGACGGTAAATTGCAGTTAGCTGTGGTCAATTTCAGTTCTCAGCTAATCAGCAGCCACCCATCACCACCCTCCAGCCCTGTGGCAGGCAGTTGTGTACACATTCAAGGAGCAGATTGAACACAGCTTTCAGGAGCCGTGGTGGGAAGTAAGAACCTTGTTCTCCAGATATTTGAGATCCATGTTTCCATTGCCAATGGCTGCTTCTAATCCCAGAGTGTAGACATGGATGTGACCAACCATTGTTACTTTGCCCCTCACTGTTGCAAGCTCCTCCGATCTCTAACAAAAACAACTTATAGGAGGTTTAAAGGGCTGATGCTTTTTAAAAATTCCCTCTTTATTTTTCTCTTTTTCTCCTTTTAGGACCCAGACATTAAAGACTACAACATTCCAAAGCAAGAACATATATAGAGTAAATTAAAAAGTGACTACACTGCCCAGTGAAAGGCACAGGCTCAGAAAACCCCTTGGAAGACGTAAGTATACAACTTAGCATGATTCTCAGCATGGAGACAGCCTACAACAAGAAGAAAAAAAGCAAAACAAACTAAAACAAACAAACAAAAAATCCCAGAAAACCCTGGGAAGGAAGAGAATCTGATTTGCAGAGTTACAGCATGATTAGATTCAAATGGTTAGTTTTCAAGAAAAAATTACTTGGCGTACAAAAAAACATAAAAGTAAGCAATTACAGCAAAAACAAAAATTGGCAAGTCAGATCAAATTAAACCAAAGATGTTTGTAAAGCAAAAGAAATTATCAATAGAGTAGACAGAAAGCCTACAGAATGGGAGAAAATATTTGCAAACTATGTATCAAACAAAGGTTTAATATTCAGACTCCATAAGGAACTGAATTTAACAATGAAAAAACAAATAACCCCATTAAAAAATGGGCAAAAGACATGAACAGGCACTTTGACACTTCTTAAAAAAAAGACAAACACGTGGCCTATAAGCCTATGAAAAAATGCTCATCATCACTAATTATTAGAGAAATGCAAATAAAAACCACAATGAGATATCACCTCACATCAGTCAGAATGGCTATTATTAAAAGTCAGAAAATAACAGATGCCAGTGAGGTTGCTGAGAAAAGAGGATGCTTATACACTGCTGGTGGGAATGTAAATTAGTTCACCCACTGTGGAAAGCAGTGTGGAGACTTCTCAAATAACTTTAAACAGAACTATCATTCAATCCAGCAATCCCATTACTGGGTATACACCCAAAAGTGTAGAAATTGTTCCACCATAGAGACATATACATGTGTATGTTCACCACAGTGCTATTCACAATAGCAAAGGCATGGAAGCAACCTAGGTGTCCATTAATGCTGTATTGAATAAAGAAAATATGGCACATATACACCACAGAATACTATGCACCCACACACACACACAAATGAAATCATGTCCTTTGTAGCAACATGGATGGAGCCAGAGGCCATTATCCTAAATGAATTAATGAAGGAACAGAAAACCAAATACCGCATGTTCTCATCTATGAGTGGGAATTAAACATTGAGTACAAATGGACACAAAGAAGGGAACAATAGACATCAGAGCCTACTTGAGGGTGGAGGATGGAGGCGGGTGAGGATTGAAACACTACCTCAGATACTATGCTTATTACCTGGGTGAAAAAATAGTCTGTACACCAAATCCCTGGGACATACAATATACCCATGTAACAAACTTGCACATGTGTCCCCTGTACCTAAAATAAAAGTTGGAAAAAATACCAAGAAAGTATGTTTCATTCCAAGGAAAAAATAAAACAACACAAACCATCTCTGAGAACAACCTGATGGCAGATTTTTTAAATACTTTAAAACAACTGTCTTAAAGATGCTCAAAGAACTAAAGGAAGACAGAGAAAATTTTTAAAAACCAAATACATGAACGAAGTAAAAATATTAACAAAGAGATAGAAAAGCAAAAAGAATCCCTCCAAAATTCTGTAGCTGAAACGGACAATAAAAGAAAGAAAAAAATCAGTTGTTAAACTGGGTCCTTAAACATAACCACCATGGTAACCACAAAGAAAATAGTTATAGAATATATACAAAAGAAACAAGAAGTCATTGAAAAAAGTCAGCTTAATACAAAAGAAGGCAGTAATGCAGAAAATAAGGAACCAAAATAATATAAGGCATACAGAAAATAAATAACAAAATGTCAGAATGAAGTTCCTCCTTATTTTTACTTTAAATATAAATGAAACTCTCCAATCAAAAGACAAAAATTGACAGAATGGATTTTAAAAAACCATGATCCCCAAGGTGGGCAGATCACTTGAACTCCCTTTGGGACCATCAATCTGGACACAGTGAAACCTCATCTTTACAAAAAATACGAAAATTAGCCAGGCACACGCCTGTAGTCTCAGCTACTCAGGAGGCTGAGGTGGGAGGATCACTTGAGCCTTGGAGATTGATGCTGCAGTGAGCCTTGATCGATCATATCACTGCACCTTTAGCCTGGGTGGGAGAGCAACACGTTTTTGAAAGAGAGAGAGAGAAAGAAAGAGAGACAGGAAGGAAGGAAGGAAGCAAGGAAGCCCCACAATCCAACTATATGCTGTCTATAAGTGATCCACTTTAAAGCCAAAAACACTAATAGGTTGAAAGTGAAAGTGTGTCCAGAATTGGTTCCTTCCGGTGGGTTCTTGGTCTCGCTGACTTCAAGAATGAAGCTGCGGACCCTCGCGGTGAGTGTTACAGTTCTTAAAGATGGTGTGTTCGGAGTTTGTTCCTTCAGATGTTCAGATGTGTTGGGAGTTTCTTCCTTCTG
The DNA here is from genome assembly GCF_000001405.40 of Homo sapiens. Classification (NCBI taxonomy): domain Eukaryota; kingdom Metazoa; phylum Chordata; class Mammalia; order Primates; family Hominidae; genus Homo; species Homo sapiens. Next base: position 35,053,739 of record NC_000008.11, on the reverse strand, counting down.
GTGGGTTCCTGGTCTCGCTGACTTCAGGAGTGAAGCTGCAGACCTTCGTGGTGAGTGTTACAGCTCTTAAAGGTGGTGCGTATGGAGTTGTTTGTTCCTCCTGGTGGGTTTGTGGTCTCGCTGACTTCAGACCCTCTCAGTGAGTGTTACAGCGAAAGAACAAATCTTCCACAGCATGGAAGGAGACCCAAGCGGGTTGCCGCTATGTGCTCGGGTGACCAGCTTTTATTCTCTTATTTGGCTCCACCCACATCCTGCTGATTGGTCCATTTTACAGAGCGCTGATTGATCCATTTTACAGAGTGCAGATTGGTTCATTTTTACAGAGCACTGATTGGTGCATTTACAAACCTTTAGCTAAACACAGAGTGCTGATCATGGTGCATTTTTACAGAGTGCTGACTGGTGCATTTAGAAACATTTAGCTAGACACAGAATGCTGATTGGTGCATTTACAAACTGTTAGCTAGACACAGAGCGCTGATTAGTGTGTTTACAATCCTTTAGCTAGACAGAAAAGTTCTCCAAGTCCCCATTCGACCCAGGAAGTCCAGCTGGTTTCACCTCTCAAAAGGATGGGAAAGGATATTCCATGCAAATAATAACCAAAGGAGTATATTAATATCAAACAAAATAGGTCTTAATCAAGGAAAGTTGCAAGAGACAAACAACATTATATATTCATAAAATGTTCAATACAGCAAGAAAATATAACAATTATAAACATTTACACACCTAATAACAGACCATCAAAATATATAATACTGACATATGCTATAACATGAATATACATTGAGATCATTATGCTATGTGGAAAAAACCTGTCATGAAAAGACAAATATTGTATAATTTTCTTTATATGATGTAGTCAAATCATATAAGTTTGTACCGTGTGCCTGTAAAAGCTGCAGACACTCAACACCAGCCTGTGAAAGCAGCAAGGAGGGAGGCTGTACCATGCAAAGCCACAGGGGCAGAGCTGCCTAAGGCCATGGGAGCCCACCTCTTACATCAGCATAACCTGGATATGAGACATGGAGTCAAAGGCGATCATTTTGGATCTTTGAGATTTGACTGCCCTGTTGGATTTCAGACTTGGATGGGGCTTGTAGCCCTTTTGTTGTGGCCAGTTTCTCCCACTTGAAATGGCTGTATTACCCAATGCCTGTACTTTCTTTGTATCTAGGAAGTAACTAACTTGCTTTTGATTTTATAGGCTCATAAGCAGAGGATACTTGCCTTGTCTCAGATGAGACTTTGAAACTGTGGACTTTTGAGTTAATGCTGAAATGAGTTAAGACTTTGGAGTACTGTTGGAAAGGCATGACTGGTTTTGAAATGTGAGGACATGAAATTTGGGAGGGGTCGGGGTGGAATGATATGGTTTGGCTGTGTCCCCACCCAAATTTCATCTTGAATTCCCATGTGTTGTGGGAGGGACTCAGTGGGAGGTAGTTGAATCATGGTGGCGGGTCTTTCCCATGCTGTTCTTGTGATAGCAAATAAATCTCAGAAGATCTGATGTTATTATAATGGGGAGTTTCCCTACCCAAGCTGTCCTCTCTTGTCTGCCACCATGTGAGATGTGCCTTTCATCTTCTGCCATGACTGTGAGGCCTCTCTAGCCATGTGGAACTGTAAGTCCAATAAATGCCTTTCTTTTGTAAATTTCCCAGTCTTGGGTATGTCTTATTAGCAGTGCAAAAACTGAAAAATACACTAATATAGGACAAAGAAGAAGGAAATCTTGGAAAAGACCCTTGAGTAGGCAATAGAGGGTGGAATGTATTGCAGAGTGGAAGAATTGACCACAGGTGGCAATAGAAACAATTATTCTCTGGCAAAACCTAATAAAATAGTGGCATCTGTAGCAAAGTAATAAATAACACTGATGTAGCACTGATTGTACATCAGGTATTATTCAAAGAATTTCATTTATGTTGATACATTTTTCATCTACAACCTTTGAGGTAATTAAGTTTTATATGGTGTATGATACTTTACAAACAAGGAAACTGAGTAACATAGAGGATAAGTATCTTGCTCAGCGATGCAGTCTGGCTCCAGAATTATTTATGCACTTACAAGATAGGTCTAATTACAATTTTGATCCAAAAGTTTAGGCTCAGAAAGATCCATGATCTTGCCCTAGGTCACATAGCTATTAAGTGTTGAATCTGGGCATGTTGGATCCCAAAGATAAAGCTCTTTCCAGGCCCCTGTGTTGCCTTAATTCAGAAAAACCTAGGAGAATTCAAACTCTAGGTAACTCTGTCTGTCTAGACAGTAGCTTTTTTTTTTTTTTTTTTTTTTTTTGGTGTAACAATGAACCTAGAAAGCCTAACTATGCGCCCTAGTTCTGCCCACTCAGCTGTGTGTGCTTGGGTGGGTTGCTTGATTTCTATGTATCTTCAATTTATTATTTGAAAAATAAAAACAATAACCGTCACCACTTTTAGTTATTATGAGGATTAAATTATTTATAATGGTGTTCCGTACATAGTAAGCAATAATATGTCAGCTACCATTTTTTATTTTAAGCTATGCATTTCCAATAATCATAATTATCTCATTCATGGAATGCATTTTCTGCCAAGACTTATTGAATCTTAGTAGCTACAGTGCCTTTTGCTAGGACACATGGGACACAAAAGTGAATTAAACAGGACTAAATATAAACATACACACACACCCACACACACACACATATACATGGAGCCATATAATTTTCAGTTCGGAAAGGACCATTGGAATCATAAACTCTAACTCCTCTCCTTCCCCATCTTAATGAACTCTCAATGCCTTACTGGACAAGTGAACCAAAAGCATCACAGATGTCAAGATGGGAGGTTGTACCTCCTGCCTTGCCTAGTACAAGCCCAGGCCATCACAGGTATTTAAAAAATGCTTGTTTGGTGAAGAGCTTAAGCGACAGTCATGAAAGGGAGAATGATCTGTGTGCATTGGAGCACACTGCACTCCAGCTGAGCATTATGGGGTAGCCATCCCTAAATCAATGCTGAGGGCCAAGCCTATTCAGACCTGGGGGATGCTGATGCCAATAAGGAAATGTTAGGCAAGGAAGGAACCACTCATTATTTCCAGAAAACTGCATAGACATAGGGTGTAAAAGATGTATCATAAGCCACTAAAGAGCCTTTTGTTATTGACTGTTCATAGGCAACTGCTTGTCATCTGACTTCTGACAAGAGAATAGAGTTTTCCAAAGTGGAATCATTTCCCTAGGTAAATGTATCTTGTGCTCTATTCCGCTTCGATGGAACTGACATATTCAATGTTGGATGCCTTCCATGTGAAGATTTATCATTTAATTATAACTAAGAACACTGAGTAAATCCCAGCTGCTTCGGGAAATTACTTACTCGAAATGCAGGATTCTCAATAAAAGACCAGGAGCTTATTTCTGATCCACAGACTCAAGATTGCAATTCCCTAAAAGTGACAAATGTTTCAGGCACCAAGAAAGAATCCCTAATTATAAGGCACATGATATATTCCAAATTAGAGAAGGGCAAAGATGAGCTCTCTGAAAGGTATTTTAGGGGGTTGAAAAGAGATCAGATGTGTTAATTTCTTACCCTGTGCACCTAGCATACGCTCCCTCTCTCTCCTACTATGAGTTAAGACTTACAGCATCCTGGAAGATGTGTCTCTCAGTGCCATGTGGGTAACCACACCGCTTAATTATTCTGTTTACTGTGAGAAGAAACTCAGAGAATGTTGTTTCTGGGCTTTTCATCTTTTGCTCTCATAACCTCAAAACAGCATTAAAGGGATGGAGCTTTCAGGCAGCCTATTTCATTAAGAAAATTAATTCAAAGGTTTCTACCATTTGTTACTGTAATGCATATCTTAGGTCTGGATTTAGGAACTGGAGGCAGTTTTGCGCAAGGAAGCATTCAGTACTCTTTTACAATGTAGAATTTCAAGCAGAGGTTATCAAACCTGGCTGTACATTAGAATTTTGGGGGAATCTTTAAAAAAAATCCAATGCTTTTTTCTTCACTTCAGAGATTCTGATTTAATCAGTTGGGGTATAGTCTGAGCACGTTTTTTTTTGTTTGTTTTTTGTTTTTTTTTCGAGATAGAGTCTCACTCTGTAGCCAGGCTGGAGTGCTGCGGCACAATCTTGGCTCACTGCAACCTCCGCCTCCCGGGTCCGAGTGATTCTCCTGCCACAGCGTCCCGAGTAACTGAGGATACAGGTGCCCGCCAACATGTCCAGCTAATTTTTTTGTATTTTTAGTAGTAGAGACAGGGTTTCCCCATGTTGGCCAGGCTGGTTTCCAACTCCTGACCTCGTGATCTGCCCACCTCGGCCTCCCAAAGTGCTGGGATTACAGGCATGAGCCACCGCACCTGGCCTGGCATTTTTTAAAGGCTCCTGAGATGATTCCTATGTATAGACATTGTTGAAATCACTGAGCCTTGGGTCATTAAGGTGACCCAAGGTGATGCTGAGCTCAGCAGGAAGAGTGGTGAATGGTGGGCCATCTTTGGTAGAAGCTGAAGTTTCTGGGCTCCAGCCCCCAGTAGCCATGACTGTTGTAGTTTCAGCTTCTGCAAATGACCCCAAACTTTGAGCTCTAATAACATCTTCTCTTTGTCTCTTTAGACAGAAAGAAGATGTGGCCTGCAGGTACTAATCTCTGGGCTCCTTCATCTGCTTCAGTTGGTGTCTCAGTTCTTCCATTACCTGGTTAAATTACCTTGGTTTTAAGTGCTGGGAGAGATTTCTGTTTTAATGGTTAGACTCTGACTGATATATCTCCCATCTTTAGGAAACCTTTGTCTTAAATGCTACATTCTACTTAAGCTATGCCACATTTCCCTGTTTTCTTAACATTTACTAATATTTGTTTCTGCTTCTTCTCCCTGTTTTCTGCCCAGTCTTTCCTGCAGGCTTTCATCTGTACCAATCCAACCAGGCTGCTCATCTCATGGGATTAACTGTGCATTATAGTAGATAATTCTTAGTCATTATCAAACTTGACTTAGCAGCATTTGGCACAGTTGATTATTCTCTCTTGTTGAAAGGCTTTTCTCACTTGCTTTATGAAACAATGTACTTTCCTAGGATTCCTCCCTTCTTTACCTTCCTTCCTTCCTTTCTTTCTTCTTTCTTTCTTTCTCTTTCTTTTCTTTCCTTTTTTTTTTTTTGACACAGTCTGGCTCTGTTGCCCAGGCAGGGGTGCAGTGGCACAATCTGGGCTCACTGCAAACTCCGCCTCCCAGGTTCAAGCGATTCTCCTGCCTCAGCCTCCCAAGTAGCTGGGATTATAGGCTTGTGTCACCATGTAATTTTTGTATTTTTAGTAGAGACAGGGTTTCACTATGTTGGCCAGGCTGGTCTTGAACTCCTGACCTCAGGTGATCCATCCACCTCGGCCTCCAAAAGTGCTGGGATTACAGGCGTGAGCCACGAAGCCGAGCTGTTTCCTCCTTTTCTACTGGTCACTCCATCTTAGTCCCTTCTTGAGACTCGTCTCCTTTTCCTGAACTAAATGGAGTCTGCTTGCCAAAGGGCTCAGTCTTGGTTCTGCCAGAGATGCCACCAGAGGCAGAGAGCCTGAAAGGAATATTTTATATTTTCATTGCTCTTTTCCTCCAACCTCCCCCAGTTTTGTCTTATTTTCCAGATCTACCAGAAACCTCAGCATGAGAAATGCAACCTACAGGGGCCAGACTCTGCAGAGCCAGAGAGGTCCAGACAGAAGCCATGACAGCAGTAGATATGACAGGGGCAATATTGTTGTACCTTTGTTTACCTATAGGAATAATCATTAGAGAGGGAGAAATTGATGATGCAGAAGAAAGAAAGCAAGAAGGACAGGTGGTTTGGTAGCAACTAAAGGTGTCTCCATCGCTCTCAAACCTACTCTTCTCCACCTCAGTAAAGGGCACCACTGTATGCCCAGTTGCCCAGAACCCCATACAGAAGTCTTTTCACTCACACTTGATGTCCAGCTAATTCATCAGCAAGTCCTATGTCCTATTGGCTCCACATGATAGTGTAGCTTCAATCCAACCACATTTCACTATCTCCTGGTTAGACTTAGGCCTATCATCTCCTGCCATCTTCTAGTGGCTTCTTCTACCACCTGTCTGCCTTCATTGTATTGCTCTGCAATCACTTGACTACATAGAAAACAGAGCCTTCTTTTTAAAATCTGAACAGATGTTGTTCAAACCCTTAGTCTCAGGCCCACAGCCCATGCCCATGTAGATTATGTATTGCTCAGCTGTGTGGACTATAAAATGAATGGCACCTTTGTCATTATACACCTAGACACCCTGCACAGCATGAAAACAAACAAACAAATTTGTTATTGTGGCCCCCTGAGTCCTACAAGATGGACCCAGCCTACCTCTGTGGTCTTGTCTCTTACCATTCCACCCACTGATCACTATGCAATAGTTGCATTTGCCTTGGATATGCTTAGCTAACTAAATCTCAGGGAGTTTGTATTTGCTGTTCCTTCAGTCCTGATATTCTTTGCTCACACCTGTGTGTGCCCTGCCCCCACATTTCATTCAGGTTTCTTTTTAGAAATTGTCTCCTCGGCCAGGCACAGTGGCTCATGCCTGTAATCCCAGCACTTTGGGAGGCTGAGGCAGGTGGATCATGAGGTCAGGAGTTCGAGACCAGCCTGGCCAACATGGTGAAACCCTGTCTCTACTAAAAAAAAATATAAAAACTAGCCAGGCGTGATGTCACGGGGCTGTAGTCCCAGCTACTCGGGAGGCTGAGGGAGAAGAATCCCTTGAACGTAGGAGGTAGAATTTGCAGTGAGCCGAGGTCACCTACTGCTCTCCAGCCTGGGCGACAGAGCAAGACTCTGTCAAAAAGAAAAAAAAAAAAGCCTCCTCATAGAGGCCTTCCATGATCACCTTGTGTTAAAGACCATCCTCAGCCTGAAGTTATTCTCTTTTTAATTTGGTTTGCTCTCAGTTTTATAGCATTTATCTACTTGGCATCATATTATATATTTAAAGCATATTGTCTTTTTTTTTTCTAAAATGGAAGCAAAAAACCTTTTAGCTTGATCTCTGCTATGACCCTTCTAACATAAAACGTACCTGGCACACAGTAGGAGATAATGCATTTTTGAATAAATAAAAGAATCTGTAAATGACTGCCTGGATATGCTTTTGTCAGAGCTGAAAATACCCATTGTATAAATTCTTTTTTTTTTTTTTTGAGATGGAGTCTCACTCTGTTGCCAAGGCTAGAGTGCAGTGGTGCAATCTTGGCTCACTGCAAACTCTGCCTCCCAGCTTCAAATGATACTCTAGCCTCAGCCCCCTGAGTAGCTGGGATTACAGGCACGCACTACCACACTCAGATAATTTTTGTATTTTTAGTAGAGATGGGTTTTCACCATGTTGGCCAGGCTGATCTCCAACTCCTGACCTCGTGATCTGCCTGCCTCGGCCTCCCAAAGTGCTGGGATTATAGGTATGAGCCACTGCACCCAGCTTCCTTTGTATAAATTCTTAAGACTCTACCAATAAAGTTATTTCCAGATACTATATGAATCTCAGAGTGTCAGAATATTGTTGAATTCCATGCAGAAGTCAGAACAGTGACTTTCCACGAAGCTTAATGTCACATAGCAGTTCCAAAGCAGTGCAGTCATCCCTCAGATCCGTGGAGAATCTGTTCCAGAAATTCTCCCAGAAACCAAAATCTTTGGATGCTCAGGTTTCTGATATAAAATTGCCTAGTATTTGCATACAACCTATGAATATCTTCCATTTTACTTTAAATAATCTCTAGATTTTTTATAATACCTAGTACAATGTAAATGCTATGTAAATAGTCATTATGCTATATTGTTTTTCAATTGTATTTTTTATTGTTGTATTGTTATTATTTTTGCTTTTTTCCCCTCGAATGTTTTTTATCTGTGGCTGGTTGAATCCATGAATGCAGAGCTCATGGATACAGAGGACTGACTGTATTTATTTTGATCAGTGTTTTCAATGTTTCCCCAAATAACTCCTCTAGGCAATATTGCCTGTGCTACGCTGAGTGTGAGTCTTACGTGAAAATTGTTCCATCCACTGTCTGCCCTAGCTCAAACCAAAGAGACTCTACAGTCTAAGGGGCCAGGCAGAAAACAGGCCCCATGTTGTCATCCCATCTCTCTTCTTGTTTCTTCCTGAACTTCCAAATCATAAGCCCTTAGGCATATCACTGTCAACAGAAGAAATAATTCTGGGCATAGAGAAGAGGGCGTTCTGTCTAAGAATGTAGCACCTGATCGCCAGAAGAGCCAACCAACTTACCCTATACCAGTTAAATATATCTTAAGAAATATAGGCTATGCTGGGTGTGATGGCTCATGCCTGTAATCTCAGCACTTTGAGAGTCTGAGATGGGAGGATTGCTTGTGACCAGGAGTTTGACCAGCCTGGGCAACCTAGTGAGAGCCTGTCTCTACAAAAAAAAATTCTGAAAATAGCTGGGTGCAGTGACACACGCCAGCAATCCCATCTCCTCAGGAGGCTGAGGTGAGAGAATCGTTTGATCCTAGGAGATCGAGGCTTCATTGAACTATAATCATGCCACTGCACTCCAGCCTGAGCAACAGAATGAGACACTCTCAAAAAAAAAAAAAAAGAAAAGAAGAAGAAAGAAAAAAGAGAAGAAAGAAAGAAGAAAGAGAAAGAAAGAGAAAAAAGGAAAAAAATATAGGTTATGCAAAGACAAGTTTATTATGACGAAATGATATTATGTCTAAAGTTTGCTTTAAAATAATCCTTTGCAAGTAGGGAAAGAAGTAGGAAAAAAGAGATGAAACAAAGTTGGCAAACAATTATGATTCTGCATCTTTCTGCATCTCAGTGATGGATACATGAACAGATCCATGTGTACTTTTGTCTACATGTTTTTGTTAAATTCCTCCATAATTAAAAGCCAAAGAAAGAAACAAGCAAAAGAAAAAATGTATAGGTTTAGCATCAGCAGAATACCAAACATCTTCCAGTTTGTTTGTAATTTAGGGTTGTGTAATGTTATACTTCTCATGAAAACTCCCAGCAAATACAGAGACTCCAATTCAAAGAATAGATGTTCTCTACCCTTTGACAAGAAATTCTTCCCTAGAAGACAAGTTTGCATTTCTAAATAAATTGGGGTCAAAGAGTATCTGCTATGGTTTGAATGTTTGTCCTCTCCAAATCTCACATTGTAACCTAATTTCCATTGTAATAACAGTATTAAGAGGGTGGGAAATCTGACTACGGTATTTGAGAGGTGGGACATTTGATATGTAAGCAGGATTAGATGAGGTCATAAGGGTGGGGCATTAGTGGTTTTATAAGAGAAGGAAGAGAGATCCAAGCTAGCACACTCAGCCTCTTCATTATGTGATGCCCTGTGCCACTCTGGGACTCTGCAGATTGTCCCCACCGGCAAGAAGTTCCTTACAAGATGCTCCCACCACTACCTTGGACTTCCCAGACTCCAGAACTGTGATAAATAAATTTCTTTTCCTTATACATTACCCTGTCTTAGATATTCAGTTGTAGAAACAGAAAATAGACTAAGACAGTATTCAATCCACCTTTCTTGTTGTCCCCTTCAAAACTGAGCTTCCAAATATATCTGGACTCTGAGGAGGCTTTTGTCCAGCACTGAAATGGGGACTCCAAGTGAATGTGGCAGATAAGGCCCACAGAGGATTAATTTGTCATAGTTCTTGCACAGAAGTTGCCTTTTCTGACACTACATTCCAATGCTGAATGCTTCAAGCAGAAGGCCATAGGCAGCAACCAGGGCACACTGCAGTACTCATGAGACCTTCCACAAACAGAGCGAACAGGGTTCGCTTTCATTATTTGTGCTCCTAGATTTTTAGTGGCTGATATTTATGTAAAGGTGAGAGAAAAATGACTTCTTTATCAGGGGCAATGTATCTGCCTTCTTGGTCCCTTCTCCTTCATATTCTTTTCTAAGTGGCATGCATTCACATACCTAACCACCTGTCTTAGCACTGCTCTATTAAGACATACCTTTAAAGCTAAAGGTTCTTTTCTACTTTCAGAATTTTTACCAGAATGGTTCTTTTCTACTTTCACTCAGGGTCTACCTATTTTTCCTAATCAATTAATAGGTAAAAAAAAAAAAAAAAAAAAAAAAAAATCCAGGCACAAGTCTAATCCACTTTTTAGCTGTCTCTTATCAGAAAGCTTGTGCTTTTGCTATAATTTCTTCTGGTCTTGGTTATTTTAAAAAGATGACTTTCTTAAATGTCGTTTCTTCCTGTGGATGTTTCTGACACAAAACAAGGGAAAACATTGCAATCAATACTTGTAACATTTTGTTCTTTGGGTTCCAGAGTCTACACTCCTGAAGTAACTCTGTTAATCATCAGCAAACTTTATGTCATAGGTTATTTCTCACTAAATCCACCTACTCATAGACAGGAGAATGAAGTTTAATAAACCATAGAGAAATCTTCCCACAGAGAAACCAGGGGCTCAGACTCTAGCAAGCTAATTACTATATTTTGAAAAAGGTCGGGTTGACCTGAGGCAAAGCCATGAAACAGTTGGCATCTGTGCCTCAGTGCTTCGTCTAGATTTTCTTTCCTTCCTGCACTTTATTCTGACTTTTAATTATCTATTTCTCATTGTATGCTCAGTATCTCTATGTTGCACTATTTTTCCACACTTAAGAATTAATTTATTCGAAGGAATTACAAGTTTTAATTTTAGTTTCTTACTTCTCATAGGAGAATTTGAGAGAGAAGAGCTTAACTCAAGGAGTGAATGGCTGAATTTCAGTCCCGAGGGCTCTCTGGAAAGAGTAGGCATTTCCTTTTAGAGAACTTCGCCAGGCACTTCTCACTGAGAAAAGTAGAATGAATGAGAAAGCTTTCAGACCCAGCTTCTAGTCTTTCCTCTGTCAATCACTAGCTTGGTGACTGGGGAGAATCAACTTACCCATTTGGACCTCTGTCCTCCCTTGTATGCAGTGGAACTATTGGGCTTGTGCTATCAGGTCCCAGAGCCCAGCATCACATCTGCACACAACTGGCATGCTCTCTGAATGTGTGCCAAATGGGTGATGGGAAATTACTTCCAGCTTTACCCTTCTGTGATATTAAGTCACATCTTGAAAGCAATTATCTGCTTATGTGTCAGTCTAGTCCTGGCATCAACCACTTAATCAAAGTGCATGCAAGTTTTATTTGGTAGGGTTGGAAGCTTATAGGAGATAGGGCCATTTTCTCAGCTGGTTCAAATTCTTATAAAATATAGAGAAATTTCAAAGGGACCTTGGAACTGAAAAAGGTAATTTCGGCTTTACATTGATGCTTCTTTCAAGATTTGTGTGGAGGACAGGACAGGTTTATGATAGCCAGGCACAGGTCAATTATAGAATATAAAGTACTCACATAAAGTGTAAAGTAATAAGTAATATACAAGGTACAGTAACAAAGAAGGGTCATATCTGCAGCTTAGCATCCCTAAACCATGTGCTTTAAAGCTACAGTTTCTTCACTGAGGTTAGTGAGTGTTTCCACAAAGCATTTCTTAGGAAAAGTTGCATTTTCTGGAATGTCGTAGGAATTATATCAATAATGCCAACTTTCTATGAATCTCTAGGTCCCTGGGATTCATATATGCTTAAATACATTCTTTTCTAGACATGCTACATTTGTTATTATTAATTCATTTACTCAATAAGAAAGTCTTCATCTGAAGACGTATTACATGTAAACTACTGTGTGGGTTACAGGGGCTATAAAGATGAAGAATATACATTTCTTGTTACTGACAGTCTCACAATATAGTTGAGGAAATAGGTTGGTAAACATAATTACATCAACAAAATGAGTATTACAATAGTCACTTCAAAATAATGTGATACAAACTTCAAAATACTATCAAAGAATGGTGAGGGATTGTATCTAAGTTTTACTAGGTGAAGGAGAAAAAAAGTTAGGAGTGGCTTTATTGAGGAAGTGGTTTGGACAGAGTGAAGTTCACTTCAGAATCCACAGAGGTAGAGAAGAGCGGGGAAATCTTCACTCATCTTCTCTCCCTCTCGCCAATAAACTGAGTTATTTCTTCTGTTTGGAGCACATCGTCAATGTGGGAGAATATCGGGGGTTAAGACTGAAGCTTCTGGAAAAATTTGATTTGTTAAGGGACGGAAGAGTTAAACTGTTATAATTATTATTAGAGTTCTCTGGAGTCCTTTGAAAGAAAAGATCAGTTAATTTTTTTTCCAGTCTTGTAAATCTCAAAACCAATAGGTCACATGCACAGGAAAATGATACCTAGTGATATACATACCCTTGAGCCTGAAAAGGGATCTTGGGACATACTATTTATGGTTTTTGTGAATTAATCAACAAAATTTAATTGTCACAACCTTGAATTGTATTAAAAAATGATTGCCATATAAAAGTAAGTTTACAAAGACATAGCCACTTTCCTTGAGACCATTTCAGGAAGCCACGATATAGACACTAATAGAATAGAGAGGAAAGTTATAACATGTAAGTAGTGACTAAGTGGTGTTACATCTATTATAACACTGAGTCCTCAGAGTGAGAGATCACTGGAGTTTAGAGTGGTAGGGCTACGACTGGTGAAAAAGGTGGGTTTCCATCTTAAGTTTGAAGAATGAATGCACCTCAGAAATCCTGAAGGAGGAGGTCATAGCATTTCAGCTTGGGAGATTAGTATAAATAAAGACTTGAAAGTGCCATTTATTGTGACATTTTTTGATAAAATTAATCATTTGCTTATATTGTATTAACTAACTAAAGTCTATGCATTATTCATGTTTTGTTTTGTTTTTTTCTTTTTTTTAGACAGAGTTTTGCTCTTGTTGCCCAGGCTGGAGTGCAATGGCACTATCTGGCCTCACTGCAACCTCTGCCTCCTGGGTTCAAGCGATTTTCCTGCCTCAGCCTCCTGAGTAGCTGGGATTACAAGCGTGCACCACCATGCCTGGCTAATTTTGTATTTTTAGTTGAGACGGTGTTTCTCCATGTTGGTCAGGCTGGTCTTGAACTCCCGACATCAGGTGATCCGCCCGCATCAGCCTCCCAGAGTGCTGGGATTACAGGCATGAGCCACTGTTCCCAGCCTATTCACATTTTTTTAGTCTTTTCCTAAGTCCTTTCTATGCCAGGATTTCATCCAGAATACTGCATACCATTTAGTCATCATGTCTCCTTAGGTTCCTCTTGGCTGCAAGAGTTCCTCAGACACCTCTTGTTTTCTAGCACCTTGATAGTTTTGATAGATTGGACAGGTAATTTATGGAAGAACCCTTAAATAGGATTTGCCTGATGCTTTTGTCATGATTAGAGTGGGGTGTGAGTTCTTGAGAGGAAGACTACAGAGATTAAAGTGCCATTGCCATCACATCCTACCAAGGGTTCATACAAACAATATGACTTATCACTGTTGATGCTAACCTTGGTCAACTGGCTGAGATAATGTTTGTCAGCTTTTTTCCACCTTAAAGTTACTCTTATCTCCCCTCTTTCCATACTGTACTCTTTGGAAGGAAGTCACTATGTACAGCCCACAATTAGGGAAAGGGAATTGTAACCCACCTCTTTGAGGGCAGAGTGTCTACATAAATTATTTGAAAGTCTTCTGCCTCATCTATTTATCCTATCATTCATTTATATCAGTATGCACTCACATTTATTTATTTTATACCTTGGGTGATAATACAATACTACTTTATTTTTTTGTTCAAATTGTTCCAGCTTTGACCATTGGAAGCACTTTCTGTTGGCTACTGTGCCACTTTGACTTCTTGTCCCCTTTCACTGTTCTTTTTGTTGTTGTTGTTTTCTTTTTGCAATTCCTCACTTCTGGGCACTCCAAGATGCTCCAGGCTCATCTTGTGTATTTCCAAACCTAGGTCTAGATTCAGTCCTTTGTTAAGGTTGACCTCACTCTTTTTATTGAAGAAAAGGATTAGGAACTAATGTCTGGGTGCTACAAGCACAACTTGCTGCAGGTGTGTTCTTGCTCTGAGGCCCCCTCAGCTGACAGAGCAAGAGGATAGATGTGTATGGACATACATTTTCTATATATGGATACATGTCTACACATATTGCTACATGCAACCACCTGTATCTTTATTTAAGTTAAACATGAGTGCATGCTGTTTCCAATTCTAACCCTTTACCACATGAATCCTTCTAGTCTCCTTCCCTCACTTATCTGTAACTTCTAAATCAACCGGCAAGAAACCTGGCTCATCATCCATTTATTTAATTGTTCAAATATAGCATACATGTAGAAGCATTAGAATCATTAATCATTAGCCATTAGTATTTGGCCGGGCATGGTGGCTCACGCCTGTAATCCCAGCACTTTGGGAGGCCGAGGCGGGTGGATCACCTGAGGTCAGGAGTTAGAGATCAGCCTGGCCAACACGGAGAAACCCCATCTCTACTAAAAATACAAAAATTAGCCAGGTGTGGTGGAGGGTGCTTGTAATCCCAGCTACTCAGGAGGCTGAGGTAGGAAAATCACTTGAACCTGGGAGGCGGAGGTTACAGTGAGCCTAGATCACACCACTGCACTCTCCAGCCTTGGTGACAGAGCAAGACTCTGTTTCCAAAAAAAAAAAAAAAAAGAATTATTAATCAGTATTTATATGGGACAATTTGATCAACTAGAATACAATTCTTGTATATAGGTAATTTTGCCTTTAGTTTTACAGATTTCACTAATTTCCAGGTTATTTAGGTCAGCAGTTTCTTCCCATCCTGTACAGCGAGGTTGTTTCATACATTTGTAATACAGTTAGTTGGTTTTTTGGGTCACATTCTGTATTCTATCCTGGGCTTCTCCAGTCCTCCTCAATGATGCTTATTTAATTTGCATACATTAAGTGCTGTACAGTTCTGTAAGTTTTGCCAAATGCATAGTGTCATGTATTAGCTATTACAGTATCACACAGGATAGTTCTGCTACTCTAAAGAATCTCTTTGCTTCCCCTACTCAACCTTCTCTCTTCTTTCACCAAACCCCTGGAACCACTGGTCTTTTATTATTATTATTATTGTCTCTTTTTATGGGTTTGCTCTTTTCTGAATCTCATCTCATTGGAATTATACAACATACAGCCTTTTCAGAATGGCTTCATTCACTTAGCAATATGCACTTAAGATGCATCCATGTCTTCTTGTGGTTCGATAGCTTGTTTCCTTTTAATGCTGAAAAACATTCAATTGTTTAAATGTATTACATCTTGCTTATCTATTCATATATTGGAGCACATTTTGGTTGCTTCCTGTGTTTGGTGATTATGAATAAAGCTGCTATACACATTTGAGTGCAGGTTTTAGTGTGGGCAAATATTTTGGAGCATGATAGCTGGATCTTATAGTAAGATTATGTTTACCTTTTTTAAAAATTGTCAAATTGTCTTCCAAGGTGACTGTATAATTTTACATTACACCAGTAATGAATGTGATGGCAGTTACTATTACTCCACACCCTTCTCAGCAATGGGTATTGTTCATTTTACTTTCTGTTTTGTTGTTGTTGTTGTTGTTGTCATTCTAATAGGTGTTAGTGGCATCTCATTGTTGCTTTAATTTGCAATTCTCTAACAAAAAATGAAGATGAGCATCTTTTCAAATGTTTAGTTGCCATCTGTGTATCTTCTTTGGTAATGTGTCTGCTCAGGACTTTTGCCCATTTTTAAATTGGGTTGTTTGTTTTCTTATTGTTGAGTTTTAAGAGTTTTTTGTATATTTTGAAAACAAGTCCTTTGTCAGATATACATTTTGCAATCATTTTCTCCCAGGCTGTGGCTGTGCCTATGTTCTTTTAGCAGTGTCTTTTTACACAGCAGAAAGTCTTAATTTTAATAAAGTCCAACTTACTTTTTTCTTGGATCTTGCTTTTGGTGTTGTGTCTAAAAACTCAACATCAACCCCAAGGCCATCTAGATTTTTCTCCTACATTTTCTTCCACAGGTTACATAGCACTGCATTTTATATTTCATTAATGTCTGTGATCCACTTTGAGTTAATTTTTGTGACTTTGGCATATGGGCATTCTATAGTTCTAGCACTGTTTGTTGAAAAGACTGCCCTTTCTCAACCGTATTTCTTTTGCTATATCATCCAACTTTACTTGACTACCTTTTCGTGAGTCTGTATTCTGTTCCATTGATCTATTTGTCTATTCTTTCATAAATACCACGCTGTGATGATTACTGTAACTTTATAGTAGGCATTGAAATCAGGATAGTGTGAGTTTCCCAAATTTGTTTTTCTTTATTAGCATTGAATTGGCTATTCTAGATATTTTGTCTTTCCGTATAACCTTTAAAATCAATTTATGTCAATATCTACAAAATATCATCCAGGAATTTTGATTACAATTTTGTTATATCTGTAGATAAAGTTGGGAAGAACTGAAGTCCTAATAACATTGAATCTTCCAATGCATCAACACAAAATATCTCTCCATTTATTCAAATACTCTCTGATTTATAAAATAATCAGAGTTGTGGAGATTTTTATATGCAAAATATCCATAATTTGTTAGATATGTACTTATGTATTTAATTTTTGAGTGCTTTATAAATGGTATTTTTCTTTCATTTCAAATTCTAATTGTTTATTGATGATACATAGAAAAGCAATTGACTTCAATATATTAAAGTGGTATCCTACAACCTTACTTTACTTACTTATTAGTTCCAGGAGTATTCTTGTCAATTCTTAGAAATTTTCAAAGTAGATAATCCTGTCACCTGGGAACAATGACAGTTTTATTTTTTCCTTGTCAATCTATGTACCTTTTCTTGTTTGATGAAAGTAACTAAGCCTTCTAGTACTATGTTGAATAGCAGTGATAAGAGAGGACATCATTCCCTTGCTACTGATTTTAGTTGGGGAGATATCCAGTACCTTACCATTAAGTATGATGCTAGTTGTTTGGTTTTTTGGTGGATGTTCTTTATCGAGTTGAGAAAGTTCTCCTTTATTCCAGGTTGCTGAGAATTTTTTACCATGAATAGGTGTGGTGGCAAGAAAGGGGGAGAAAGAGTTCTATAATCTTATGATTTAATTTCGGTTTTTCAGTGGGCATGGGTTTTCAGACTGTGACCTTCACGAATACTTCTCCTTTGTTATAGCTTCATTTTCCCCTTAGGTGATACAGGAAAACTGGAGCACCTGCTGTGAAAACAGTACTTTTCCCCACATAGAATAGGGGCTTAGGAAAGCCTTTATCCCTGGAGAGTAGTTATGGAGAACACTCTTGGGTGTACAGAATTTCAAAATGATTACTTTGCCTTCACATGTCAAGATAATCTTTCTTAAATCTGCACCATGTGGTAAAACACACAAGTCTGAGGGATCCCTTAAAACTGCAGGCCTCAGGAATTTCTTACTTTAATTGTCCCTGCCAGTAATGGGCTCCAGCAACCTCTTCTCTAGGTAAGCATATCACTACTGTGAACACCTTAATGTGACTCTTTCTCCAGATTTGGGGCTATAACTTTTTCCATCAAACTCAGCTGTCTAATGGGTCCAAGAAAAGTCATTGCTTTTTAGTTTTTTCAGTTTTTAATAGTTATAAAAATGGGCTTGATCATTTTTAATAGTTATAAAACTATTCAGTTTTTAATAGTTATAAAAATAGGCATGAACTCCCAAACACTTTACATGTGGGAGCTGAGACCAGAAGTCAATCTGCAACGTTTGAAATCTCTCATTTGGGAACCCAGATTCTTCAGATTCTGAGCTGTCCGCCATCCATCATCACAATCTCCCTTTTGTCCTGAAAACTTCAGGTGGTCTTGGAAGCAGAGAAACATTCACCTCAGGAACAAATAGGATGACATTCAGTTGAATTGAGAATATGCTAAATGAAACCAGGACAGATTATGTAAATAAATTGTAAACACTTTCCCTGTACAAAACCCTTTTATGAAAAAAAATGTTGTAAGGTAACATTTTCTGGATGGAGCAGCTGGGAGCATGGCATCATTTATTCCAGCTATTGATTGAGTGCCTATTTTATGCCAAAATATGTGAGAGGTGTTGGGGACATGAGGACAGGTAAGATAAATATACTCACTGTGCATATAGAACTTAAGTTAGGGAAGACATATAATACGGTGTACTTAATGATATGCTTTGGAGGAGAATCTTCCAGGCAAGAGAAAAAGCCTAAGCAAACCCTAGAGATAAGAGAAAGCATGAACTAAAAAGAAATACAGAATTCCAGGATGGATAAAGGATGAAATTTGTCCTAGTCAAAATCACAGCAGGAAATAAATGGCACATTCAAAAGGTATAATTGAAGATAATTTAAGGAAGGAACTGTTTGCAAAGATGTTGGCAGGGTTAATGGGAACCCTCAGGCATTGATAAAATAGTTGGCATTGATAAAGTAGTTATCTCCCAACCTGAAGGAGGATGTAATGGGAGTGGTTATGAAAACTGGGGGAGAGTTATGGCTGCAGAATAGGGATGCTGGGGGAAGGAAATGTGGGCCCTGGGCTGAGAAATGCAGCTTCTGCCAATTGCTGGCCAGACAGGAAAAGATCAGAGGCATAAATCTGTCCTAGGATATCCTGTGGTTGCCTGTGATTGGTTGAACCTAATCAGAGGCAAGAGGGTTCAGGCAGCCTGTAGAGTTTATCCTACTTTCCAGCAGGGTAGAAAGGATGAAGAATGAAATTGGTAGGGATGGGGTGGCAAACTGAGATTATATTGAGATTATATGGCTTAGTTCCCTTACATAAAGGACTACATCCTATCAACGATCATATGTTAAAATAATGAATTGGGAAACCATTAGACTGAGGACACTTCAGTTCCCTGGGTTCCTATGTAAACAAACTGAAACCCAACACAGGGTAAACTGTAAAAGAAACTTAAACTTTACCAGAAACTGCCAACTAACCTCCAATCAAGATCTTTCCACTGGAATGATTTATAAAAGACTACTGTTCCACATTAACCCATCCAATAGTGTCTTTGTCTTGCATCTGTATTCACCCTATAAAGCCTTCCCCTTGTGCCCTTTTTGATGGAGTCCTGAAATGCCTGTCGTCTGTAGCTGCCTGATTCATGAATGGCTGTCTGCTCAAATAAACTCTTTACATTTCCAATGTGCCTGTTTATCTGTTAACACGTCATCACCACGTGGTGTAATTTCAGGTATATTTAGCCACAAAGACCAAAATATGAGCCTTCATTAATATGCTCTGTATTACATAAAAATGGGAAAAGGGGGTATCATTAAAAAAATTGATTAAAATAAAATACAGGTGTAACAGTCCTACATTTGTAGCTGCTCTTAAAGTCTAAATTAAAAATTAAAGCTTTCTTTTCTGTCACTGATTTCATGGTCCCTTTGATCTCTGTCAGCGATTTCTTTGGATAGAGTTCTTTATTAGATGGGATGAACCACAACATAATTTTCACAACCGCTGGGTCTTTGGTGGTCCTGACTTTGTTGGATGGCTTCAGTTTCCTATTGATTAGTATAAGTTAAGAGGCATCCAAATGTATCTGCTGCATTTTGGTGAATTCCTGATTTATCGAATTTTCTCAGCTTTGTATTGTGTCCCTCTGTGTGTTAGATGGATGGTACAGCTGCAGAGACTTGTTTTCCACTGTAGAAGGGAGTTTTAACATACCTCCTGTCACTGGGCCACTAGAATTTCAGCAATGCAGCAGGCCTGGGCTTTTGGGGGTTCCTGTCTCATCTTCTGGCATGAATGTGTGTTATATAGGAATATACGGTAACAATAATAAATAACTGGGATGAATTGGGATAATTATTCTTAATGTAATGAACTAATGTGGTCTCCTATGAGATATCCAGTTTTTTGTTTATTTTTTTTTTGTTTTTTTGTTTTGTTTTGTTTTGAGATGGGGTTTCACTCTGTCACCCAGGCTGTAGTGCAGTGGTGTGATCATAGCTTACTGTAGCATAGAACTCCAAGTAATCCTCCTACCTCAGCCTCCCAAGTAGCTGGGACTACAGGTGTGCGCCACCATGCCCAGTTAATTTTAAAATTAATTTTTGTACAGGTGGGGTCTTGCTATGTTATCCAGGCTGGTCTGGGTAACATGATCTTTCATCATGATGAAGATCTTGTGCTGCCGCCTCTAGATAAATAAATCTGGGTAAAATTGTTTCATCAGAACTTGTCTATATGTGATGTCCTCTGAAAGTCTGTAATAAGGTCAACTCATATTACAAATTTTATCCCTTTATTTTTAAACTTTATTTATCCCTTTACTTTTTAAACTTCCTGACCTCAAGTGATCCTCCTACCTTGGTCTTCCAAAGTGTTGGGATTACAGGTAAGGGCCAACATGCCCATCCCAATATCCAGTTTTTAACGTTTTCCAGACAGTGAACTGGGGAGCTCTCAAATCTCTGAGCTTACAAAGTAAAGATAAATTGCTGTCTCTGCTTCCCGAAAGCAAATTGCCTTGGATTATGTTTGTTGATGTGGACTGAAAACAAAGCGTGTGTTCAGCCAATATCTGTGTATCAAGTAACAGAAGCTGTGTTGATTTGTGCCAGTAGGTCCCACTTGCAGAACTATAGCCACAATAGGCCCCACCACCTGATGAAATTTACAACAATCTACCTTCACTCTCTAAGCAGAATGGATCCTGTACCAGGCAAACAGGTGAGTTAAATGAGCCTGAAGTCACATATTCTTGCACCTTGCAGCTTTTGGTGGTGGCACTAATCTCTGTAACACCCCCAGGGAAAGGATAAAGCTTTTGGTTTACTGCACTGGAGGGTGAGAATGTGGCATTTTCTAATTTCCTTGGCTTCTGAGTTCTTATTTTATTCTTTAAAAGTAGTAGATGCCCAGGACTGTCTATGATATGACCCACCATGCCTGTTAGATCCTATTTTAAACCATTCTTTGTATTACTTGCTAACCTTGAAGGGAAAAGTTAAAAAAAAAAAAAGAAAAGATTTTTCTGAGGTCAAGGTCCAAAGAATGATATATAACCATTGGGGTGCTGTTAGACAAATAGGCCAGGTTGTTTGGTGAAATTTCTTAATGTTTCAGTTGAGAGGGAAAAGATGAAGCATGAAACATAAATACAATCCATTTACCAGCAATGAAGGTTTCCAAGGGTGACTTTTGGCTTCTTTAGATTTTCAGCCTAGGGAGAATTATTGTTATTTTCTCAGATACTGCCTTTTTCTGAAATTAGTAATGGAATAGTATTGTATTTTTCTTTGGTATGGAATGAGATGATTTATCTCAAAGTAAGAAACAAAGAATCTTGTCTTAAAGCATGGCTATGTATGCTTATTTGGTAAGTCATTAAAAGGAGGCAGGTGTACACATGGAGGGTAATTTGGAGGGCTTGGTGATCCTGTACTTCTGCCCCTAGACAAATAAATCTAGATAAAATTGTTTTATCAGAACTTGTCTGTATATAATGTTCACTGAAATTCTACAATAAGGTCAATTCAGATTACAAATTTTATCCCTTTATTTTTAAACTTTATTTGATTTTGAGAACATAAATATTTTCTTCTAAATAACATAGAGGTCAGTTCTTTAAGTATATGAACCTACTTTTTAAAACAACTTTCCCCTCTACCTCATATGATCTGGGTTCTTGATCAGTTAAGAAGTTGTTTTCTTGTAAAGCAAAGATATGATAAGTGTTTGTAAACATCCTCTCCAATCCTTGAAACACTAAATTGGCTGATTTTCAAAAGTATTCAGGTAAACCACTGCAAATTTTAAGTCTTTGGGAAGGATCCCATCATTTCCCCAGTTTACTGCAATAAAGAAAAAGCTCATCGATGTCCATGAAGCCACTATTTTTGCTCACAATAGCTTGAAAATATAATGCCCTCTCCCTCATCCTGCCTTCTAGACACCATGCAAGTAATTTTGTAATAAACTTTAACCCAGAACCATACAGGAAAGAAGTATCTTGAAAATGTAGCTCCTAGCTTCCACACTGCATTACAGAGGAGATCTCAGAATGGGGATGTATTAGTCCAGGTCCTCTAAGAAGTAGACTCCATGTTGGAGTCAAAAATAGTTTTTATTAGGGGAAATGACTGTGAGACAAAAATAGAGAGGGTTCTAGGGAAGGCTGAGAGAGCCGTCAGACCATGATCCTCTTCTGATCAAAGCTAGGATCAGAAGGAGACAAGGCTAGATGGGACAGATAACCTTGCAATCTAATGGTTTGCCAAGGTGTCAGAAAGTCTTCAAGCCAGATTTAGTCTTTGGAAGAACCTCAGGTCTCCCAGAAGGATGTCTGCCTTATATTCCCACCACACTCCTTAATTGGCTGGAAGCAGCTCACGGGAAGTATGGTCTCAGCGCAAATTTGGCAACGGATTTCAGAGCACACAACAGAGGCTCTTGCTCATTTCCTTGTAGTTGCAGGTTTGTGAAATATATTCACATGGCCATTGCATGGAAGATCTAGTGAAAGACTGGATTCTAACAGTCTATTACAGCCCACTCTATTGTCAACTTAGCATCTACACCACCCTTTTAACCCATATTATTTAGCTTCTGATATAGACCAGAATAATATAAGATGCAGCCTTCTAACTAAAACCAAAACCATCCTCACCTTCCCACAAAGTGGAGACACTAAGTTGTTCATGCTGCTTTATCCCCAGTGTGTGATATTTTTCACTCTTCTAGTGAGGTCACAACTGTCTTGTTATCCTTCAATTTAAATACTGACTTATGCAGTTAACTGCTATTAACACAACTTACATCAGATAGAAAGTGAGTTGGAGAATGGAAAAAAATATTACATATGTATAAAAATAATACACATTAAAGGAATAAAATTGTGAATAATCATTCGAGTTCTCATTTTTTTCAACTGGTTATGAGGCTGTGACTGCAATTGGTGACTTTCTTTGTCCACTGTTCATTTCATTTTCCCTTTGTTCTTAGCCAGCACCCCAGATGGTTATGGGTCTAGTTCTGGGAGTCTGTGCTTTTAATGTTTTTGCTTGTGTTGTGTTATCATAGTTGCTCACTAACTTTTACTCTGAGATATGGAGGCACTAAGAGGTTCCCCAGAAAATCCCTTGGGTCTCAGTCATGCTCCTTTATGCCCCATTGTGTGATAGTACCCCTGTTTCCCCGATACTCAAGATTAATTACCCAGCCAATACATAAACTGCTTCTTTGGCTGGTGGGTCACTACACGAGGAGTGCATAGTGGTCAGATGTCAGTCTCAACTTTCAGGTCAATGAAACCCTTATAGTAACACCTTTCTGTTTTAGAAAAGCAGAACCCAAAGTTTTGATGATGAAAAGCCAAAATTTTCTAGTGGTTTATTAGGTTAGTGAAAGGAGCCATTCTTGTTTCCAGTCTTGGGTTCCTAGACTTCTATATCCCACCTACATGCTGGCTCAAATCACGTATCATACCTGAAGGACATTATCAGGCCCTGTAAAAAAGTATTAGAACCCAAGTGATGCCATAACTGGCTGAGTACTTGAAAGTAGATTTCACTCTTCTACCTGACCACCTCTGAAATGGTCTCCTATGCTCATTCTCTCAGTTAATAGTTCTTTACTACACCTTCATTCAAGACAATTAGAAGCTGCAGAAACTATTTATTTTAGCCATCATGGAGATGTCTAAGTTGTGATTACCTCCTCTTAAGTTCTCAAGGATAATACAGCAGTCACATCAATTGTTAATTTTTAATTAACAAATTAAAAATGCTTTAATATAGGCACAAAGAATATGCTATAGTGATTAAGAAGGGGGCAAATTCCCTCCTAGTTTGGAGGTCAGAAAAGGCTTAATAGAGATGTGTGGTGGTGGAAGAGATATTCTAGTCAGTGGAGCCAAGAGCAAGACTAAAACGTGTAGCAATTTCAGTGAATCAGCAAGAGTTTCTGACTTGGTCAGAGATACAACAAGCATAAGAAACAAGTGGGAAAGGAAGTTTGAAAGGTGGAGGGTATGAGATCTTTGCAGGAACTGAAATGTCAATCTAATCACTTCTTAGTGCAATGAGAAGCAGTAGGAGGGTTTTCCTTTTGTTTGTTTTCTTCCAAACAAATGTTGCAAAATATTAAGATGAAAGAAAGGTCAGAGCTTAAACCCTGTTTTTACTCTCAGTTGTGTGATCTTGGAAAAGTACACCTCTCTCTGAACTTCAGTTCTATTGTCAGTACATGTGGATGATAATACATGCTTTAAAAGGTTAAGAGGATTAAATACTTGCTCTAGTATCTAATATTTTAGGAAATAAATACTCCCAAGCCTCTCAACATGCGTTATGCACCGAACTAGGCAGTGGGTCATGATAGTGATGAATGCAAGATTGATAGCTATACTTGGGATGCATCACATGTTTCGAACCAATGACTCACCCTGCACTGGGTCCACAAATGGTTTTGTGAGCAGAGTTTGAGGTCAGAAGTCAAAACACCCTGAGGCCACTGGGCATGAATGGGTAGAAGGATGGGACTATTCTTCAAACCACATTTTATTGGATTATGACATATTCCTTTTACTTCTCTTTCATCTACTCATCCCTTAGGTTGAAAAATTACTTTATTACATTTTGTTGCAATCCTAAGAAAAACCTGTATACAGGTATCCAATTTCATAACTAAATTTGGAATAAAAATGTTCATTTGGTGGACCAGTTTAGAATTTCAACAGGCTTTTCTACCAGATTCCCCACCCTCCAGCTCTACCCCTTGACCCCAGCATCTTCTGTGTTATGAAAACACTCTTTAATTCCAGCTAACATAATCATAACCATAATCATAATGAATCATCATCATTATAAATAATAGCTTGTTCTTGTGATGTACAAGCATTGTTCTAAGCACTGCACATGTTTTACATTATTTGATGCTCAAAATAAAGCTACGAGGTATATGTTATTTTTATCCTCATTTTACAGATGAAAAGACTGGAATTGAAAGGGATCAAATAACTTTAGAAAAATGCTTGGCTGCTGAAAAGAACTGAGTAGAACAGAGAAGCCAAGGTTGAGAGCTCAATCACACCCCTTGTTGCCTCTCTTCTACCCTCATTCTAAGCCCAGTCATCCTCCAAATATCCCCACTAGGTTTCTTCACTTAGGGTTTACATATCTATAAAATGAAATAATCTGGGAAAAAAGTCTAGATTTTCTTAGCAACAAAATCCCTCCTCTTCCCATTCCCTGCTCCTTTTCCTCTTTCTGCACCAGCACAAGACTAGGCCTGTTTAATTTATCTATGGAGACTTAGACAGCCCCGTGGAGTGGTGTGTCAGTTTACCTCAATGCTGAGCTTTTTTAAAACCCCCTCAGTAAAGTGCACACTTAGTCAGGTTGAATTGCTAGAGACATTAGAAGAGTCTTCAAAGCCTGCATGGGAAAATAGGAGAAACCCACAGCAAAAGAGGAGTTTGAGGAAATATCAAAGGTGCCTAGTAAGGATTTTATTACATTTTATTGATATAAATGTAATCCTTTATATATGTATGTATGTAGTCCTTTATATATGTAAACCTTTCTTTGCCTTCCTAGGTAAGCTTAACATCTGTGTATGTATGTACCTATTTATGTATCTATCTTATCTATCTATCTGTCTATTATCTACCTACCATCTGTTTATTTATCTTGCTAATACATTGTGGAATTTTGAATCTTGGGAAGGACATCCGAAATTTGAACTTAGTATGACCTTTGCCCTACAGTTAGGCCAGTGTCAAGAGCCAAGGCTCCCCGCAGGCAGCCAGCCATATCTGGGTCACATCTTCAACCTTTTAATACTAGCAAGGACTTATCTAGCAGTTGCTATGAACCAGATGCCATCTAAATACTTTAAATATATTCACTTATTTATTCCTCACAGCAACTATGTAAGTGAAGTATTGCTATTGGCTTCCTTTTTCACATGGAGAAACTGAGCACAGAGAGATTAAGTGACTTGCTTGAGGTCACACACTTCATGTATGACAGAGCTAGAATTTGAACCCAGGTAAACTTGTTTCAGAGACTATAATCTTTAACACTGTGTTGTACTCTTGCGATTTTTGAATTCCTATTTCTCCCCACATTGCATTTATGTTTTCCTCTATCTCAAAATAATATTTCCAGATATCTATTGGACTGTCTCTTACACTTTAATCACTGAGAACTACCCTCTCTCCCAGCACTGTATGAGCCCCCATAGCTATCTTTCTACCAAGGGATTCAGACCTCTTGGACACAGCTGATTTCACCAAGTATTAGAACCTGACTTAGGAAGGGCCAACAAGATTCTCAGAGCTGGGAACAGAGGGCTGAACTGTGTGAACAGTACAACTCCAGGGAAGGTGTTGAACTCCTGCTGTCAAGATCCTCAGGCTGCTCTGCTCCTGTCTTCCTGAGTCCCGGTTATTAATAACAGCCTTGGATTTTGCATGACCCTTGAGAATTTTTCTCATAAATTTCCTTTATGATGAAGCCAGTTTGAGATGCCCCTCCTACTTGTAAGCAAAGGTCTTCTCTAAGCCGCTGTGCCCTCTCATTAGGACTGTTGTGCACACAGGCTACCTGTCAAACAGTTCTCAAAAAAACATTATTTCGCTAAACCACAGATGTACTATTATTCTTTCCTCAGTAAAGGGAGGGCGTACTCAAAGACACATACAGAAAAGGAGCATTAGCTATATCTCACTCTTTTCTACTGTTTTATTCTTATTTTATAGCTAGAAATGTCCTTTAGGTTTTTCAACCAACATTTATTTTATGAAATATAAATATACTATTGAATCTAAATTTTCTAACTAATATTAAATCCGGAAGCCATCATTGCACATATTAAAATAACAACTTATTGCCATGAGATATCGCTGAACCAAACCTTTCCAAAACATGGTGCACTCACTCTTAGTGAGAGTAGAGAACAGTACGGAAGTGCAGCTGGGCAGCATAGATCATCGTTTCACTCTTGTAATATTTTGTTTGTGAGTTTTTTGATGTCAGAAACACAAGTTTATTGTGTAAAGTGAACATTTTATTTTACTTTGTTTTAATTTTAAATTTTTGTAGGCACATAATAGATGTATATATTTATGGGGCACTTGAGATATTTTGATACAGGCATTCAATGCACAATAATCACATCAGTGCAAAGGGGGTATCCATCACCTCAAGCACTGATCCTTTCTTTGTGTTACAAACAATTCAGATTTTTAAAAAAATAGAGACAAGGTCTCACTATGTTGCCCAATGTGGTCTCAAACTCCTAGGATCAAGCAATCTCCCCACCCCAGCCTCCCAAAGTGCTGGGATTACAGTCATGAGCCATCACTCCCCACCAATACAGTTAAAATTTTAAATGTCTGCTTTAATTCTATCAAAAAATAAAACCAACCAGTTTTAAAATTAGTACATATGTTTTAAAAAACCAATGAGATGCCTAGTACATTGTTAGGCTACTTTAGTATTTCTAGCTTTTTTGCCTCTCCTAACTTTCCAAGTCATCTTTGCCTATGCCGCACACTGAAATCAACCAAGATTGGTACTGTCAGTGCCTTTGCTTTAAATTACATCATGATTGCTGGAGAGGAGTAAATTCATGATGAGAATGGAAGGACAATCACTACTTCCCATCTCTTCTGCTTTTCTCAAGGTTCATTCTTTGTCTATATAACTCATTTCTATACTGTACCTAGATTTATTTCTTTAAAAAACTTTATATACAAAAAAATTTAAGTTCAAAATGTTGCTTTCCTTTTGGTCCTCTGAGTCTTCTACTTTGATTGGCCAAGAAGGAACAAACAAGCCTTCATTTCCTCTTAGTTCAGTGGTTCTCAACCAAGGGCCACTTTGCCCTTGATGGAACATTTAGTTATATCTGGAGAAATTTTTGGTTGTCAAAAATGGGTGGGGGTAGAGTGCTACTGGCATGTAGTGGATAGAGGCCAAGGAAGCTGCTGAATATCCTACAATGCATAGGATGTCTCTACTCCACTCATCCACCTCCCCACCTCCTGTCCAAATGTCAATAATGTAGAGGTGGTGAGACTCTGCTGTAGTGTTACAGTGAAGGCGCTTCAGTGAGATGGTTATGAGAACAGATTTTAGAGCCAGAGAGGCCTGGGTTTCAATTCTGCCTCTGCCATTTCATAACTCTGATGGTTTTTATAAGCTTTTTTTCTATCTGTGCCTCAATTTCTCTATCTATTAAATGGAACCATAATAATTATTATTGTTTAACTGTGTTGAGAAGACTGAGCAAACTAATATATATATAACACTTAGCAATGTTCGGAGTACGTAGTGTTTAATACTAAGTTACAGATTTCCTGCTGTTCAACTGAGATGCAGAGTTCTTTTCAAGGAGACTTTTCTAGAAATGAAGGGAAAAAATAACAAGTAAGAAGTGAATGCAAAAGTAAACAAGGAGAAATAGGAATTCAGTCAATGTTTCTTACCCTAAGGCTACTGAAGTCCAGTCAACAAGAAGCCTGCCAGCCTGGCTTACCATTTTCTCTTGTCTTGCTCAGTTTGTGTAGAGCATACACAAGTGATTACAGGGTCTAGACAGGTCTTATATATAAAACAGGAGGTCCAATATTGGCATTTTAAACATAGAGAAATGTCTTCACTTCTACAAAGAAATTTACTTACTCCCATTTTTCTTGAATCATGTTGTTCTGTTAGTCTTTTCCTGCCATTGATAGGGATGCGGCTACAGAGAAATGTTCTACTGCCTTAATCTACACAACAGTGCAATAGCAATCATAAGCAACAATAGACACTTGGCCTTGATGTTGAGGAGACCATAGCGGGTGTGTGCCAGGTGGAGGAGGTTGGCCTGGTCTTAGCAGGGCAGCTGCTGCTCAAGGTCAGATGATTGCTGAAACAGGGGGATATGGGTCCAGTGGCTGCCAGATCTTTTCCGTTTTTTTGAAAACAATTTTCTGGATTTTTATGTGAACTCTCAATATTTAAATGTTCATTTGTATTGGTGAAATATTGCTGTGCAGGTAAAAAATAACACGGCTGAGGGCTGAGTTCAGCCTCAGGGCAGTTAGTCAGGTTTCTAAGACTATTACAATAAGGCTTTTTCCTACCTTTTAGTCCCATTTCCCATTATTCAAAAGTCTCAGTAGTGCCTAATGCATTTGCTGATTCAGTAACTCTTATGGAATGACTACTGTGAGCCTGGTTTTATGCTAAGTGCTTGACATACAGCAATGACAGGCACGAAGTGTCTGTCACTCTGAAGCTTGCATTCCAGTGGGAAGAGATAGTGAAAATAAATAAATATATAATATTCCAGATGGTATACTATGCAGTCGTAAAAAAGAACAAAATTATGCGCTTTGCAGGAATATAGATGCAACTGGAGGCCATTATCCTAAGCAAATTAGTGCAGAAACCAAAAAACCAAATACTGCTTGTTTTCACTTATTAGTGGGAGCTAAACATCGGGTATTCTTCCGCATAAAGATGGGAACAATAGACACTGGGAACTACCAGAAGGAGGAGCGAGAGAGGAGGGTCCAGAGTTGAAAACTATTGGGTACTATGCTCACTGCCTTGTGGTGACAGGATCAATCATACCCCAAGCCTCAATATCAAGTGATATACCCATGTAACAAACCTGCACATATACCCCCTGAATCTAAAATAAAAGTTGAAGTTACATAAAAAGATAATATTCCAGGTGGTGATATGGGTTCGGAACACCATAGAGCAGGCAGTACAGGCAGAAAGTGCCTTGTGAAAGAGGCCTCAATATAAGGGGCTACTGGAACAAAGACCATAAAGAAGAAAGAGAGTGAGTGTTGCTGATATTTCAGGAAATTGAATTCCAGGCAAGTGGAATTCAAGGTGAGAAGGTGAGAAGGCCCTGAGGCAGATGGTTTCACTTAGTAGACTGGCAGAGCACCAGGGAGGCCAGTGTGGTTGGAGCACAGTGAATGAGGGCCAGAGTGGAAGGGCATGTGGGCTCTGGAGAAAGTTTGAGTTTTGTTCCTTCAGGAGTTGGAACAGAGATATACATGTCCTGATTTACATTTTACAAAGATGACTCTGGCTGCTGTCGAGAATAGATGGTAGTGAAGCTTCCTATTGTGAGTGCTCTGGGACTAGTTAAGGCTGCATCTTTACCATGGTCAGTTGTGAACACAGCTGAAATGGGCTTTTCCACTTAACAACACCTTTCCCCAACCTCTCCTGTTAAGGTACCCTGTGGAAAAGGCCCTTTCTCTCACTTATTGGTGCATTTTGAACATCCTCTGGCATCACATTCTTTTTCTCTCTAGAATCTTCTAAATCCATAGCCTTGGATTTACTCTTGGATTGCTCTGCTAGGCTGTCTGTGGATCGACTCTCAATCTGAATCAGCTGTTGTCTTCCTAAGCTCATCTTCACCACAGGAAACTACCCACTTTACTCCCTTCTCCATCTCTGGAAGAGATTTGAGGGACACACCTGTGTCCCAGATGATGTTTATCTCCTGCCATCTCTTCTCCAGTGGGCATTTGTGTATCTCTTAATCTTTCAACGACTGCCCCACCTGCTGCATACATTTCTTCTTTTCTCTTTCAAAGATGTCTTCATTTCTTCCTTTCCTCATTTCATTAAGAACACAGATTTCAGAGACAGCTTGCCAGAGTTCAAATGTTGATTTTGCCACTTCCAGCTCATGGATCCTTGTGTGAGTAAGTCAACCTGTCTCAGCTTCTTCCTGTGTTAAATGGGGATAAGATGACTCATCTTACAGGATTGTAGTGTGCAGTATTAAATGAGTTAGGTAAACTCAGAAGTGTCTGATGTGTAGTATTCTTTAAATAAATGTGAACCCTTGTTATTACTGTAAATGTTAATTTTCCTTTATATTATTTGGATGCTTCAAAATGTATTAAAACTTTTAATGTATATAAAATGTGTAAACATACTACTCAGTGAATCAGTGTTTAAAACTAAAAAAAAACTTTCAGCAGCCTACAAACGTTTAAGTATTCACTGAATGACATGATCACTATTAGCAAAATGTCACTTGAATTCAGTGACGTTTTTTCTCTTTTTTACAGGAAGAAAAGAGAGGGATTCTAATTAAATCAATTGAAGCTTTTCTATTTCGCAAGACTCTGCCAGAAGATGTGTGTAGCTGAAGAATTTTAAGTGGAAAGAGGCAACCTCCCATAAATCTTCCTTTAGTATATTCATATCTGACCCATGTTAGACAATTAGGTCCCTCATGGGATATGAACAGAAAGGAGGTGGGAAACAGGGTGGGAAAGAGGCTGGATGCTGCTGTCTTTTTCTTTTGTCTTCAGAAAAAATCATGGCCCCAAGGGATCAGACTTAATCTCCTTTTATGGAGAAGGTATAGAGAACAAGGGCAAAAGGATGAAAGAAAGAAAGCTAGAAGGGAAAGGAATAGCTTGGATTATTTAAAATCTTCATAGTGGGTTCATAATTGGTATTTATTTATTATTTCCTTGCTTCAGGGAATTCAATGGGCAGAATCCCACATACAAAACAGACACAAGGCTATCCTTGCTCTTTAAGGGATTTAAGACAGGACTGCCTTAAAGACAGAAGCTGCATTAATGTATTTAAAAGAGATTGGTTTGCAATCTACTTCTGAAGATTCCTCCTTTAATTATTTATTATTATTTTTGCATGTTTCTCTGTCTCTTTTTTTGTTTTTGTTTTTGTTTTTGTTTTTGTTTTTGAGATGGAGTCTCTCTCTGTCACCCAGGCTGGAGTGCAGTGGCATGATCTCAGCTCACTGCAACCTCTGCCTCCCGGGTTTAAGCGATTCTCCTGCCTCAGCCTCCCGAGTAGCTGGGATTACAGGTGCCTGCCACCACACCTGGCTAATTTTGTATTTTTAGTAGAGAGGGGGTTTCACCATGTTGGCCAGGCTGGTCTCAAGCTGCTGACCTCAAGTGATCCGCCTCAGCCTCCCAAAGTGCTGGGATTACAGGCGTGAGCCACTGCGCCTGGCTTCTCTTTTTCTTAATAATAACTAGAGCCTCTGGAATCTCTGTGAAATCTCGTATCTTTATCTTCTCAAATTTTTGAATGAGCAATGGTGGTGAGATTGAGGAAATCATAATACCAGCATTGGAAAAGATTTTGAAGAAGAATAGAAGGCTCACCAATAACATGTTAGTGCCTAATGAAGGGTTTATTCCATCTGATTTACAGAATAGACCAGACAAGACAATCATTTCAGAGCCTTTTACCTGTGTCAGGGTATGACAGCCACAGCCCTTGTTTTAAAGATCACCTTTGTCTAATCCCCATTACCTGGACTTACAAATTTCCCCCCTTAATGTTTTACAGGTTTACCTATGTATAAATGTGAGATATGTTTAAATAAAATGTTAATACATGTTTAAATAAAAATTCCTGTTTAAATGAAAATGCACTTTATACATATTTAAATGAAAATAATTTAAGCCTGCAGATGGATTAATATTTTTCTGAGTCAATGCTCTTTACAAGGTGGTTCAATTTTTCCATCAGTTCCTTTATAACTCTGTTACTTTCAATTGCAAAATGTAGTAATTTGGCTTAACTACAGGCCTGGTGTGCTACATCTTCCTCTGAGTTGAATACCTTCCATCTCTGCTTGGCTTCCTGTTAAATATTTATTATTGAACAATGTTGGGAATTAGGGGAGATTTTGCATCCAACTAAGACACAAATATTCCATGCTAAGACCCTCCCTTCAATTGAACCTTCAGATTCTGTCCTTGCAATGCCTGAGTAAAGAACGTGAAAGAACAGCAGAGATCTCCTGATTAGGCCAGACTGTGTTTCCAATGTCATTACATTAAAAAATAAATAATAAAACTGGTGAGAAAGAATCAGTATTATGAGACTTTTCTTTCCTTTTTCAATTCCTAGGTGATATGTCAGTTATCTTTGCCTCAAAACATGGTGTAAACAATGTGTTGTACTCATTAGAGCTAATTTATTTACTTGATTAGTTCTTTACTTTTATTTGTGCTTTCTGAAATTGGTCTCAGGTGACAAAAGCATATGTGACATATGAAAGTGTTTGATCAAGTAGTCTTTTTTCTCAGTTATCCTAGAAAAAAAATACTTATGCCCTTTTAACATTGGCTTTCTTTATACATTGCTAAGGTTTGAATATGTGCCATAAAGTTCATGTTTTGGAAACTTAATCCCCAATGCAACAGAGGTGGGATGCAGGGCTTAATGAGAAGTGATTAGGTCATTAAGGCTCTGTCCTCATTAAATGGATTGTCATTATGAGGGGGAGTGGGTTTCTGATAAAAGGATGAGTTCAGTCCCCTTCCTCTCCTTCTGGCATGCTCTCCTCCCCTTCTGTCTTCCACCATGAGATGATGCAGCAAGAAGGCCCTTACCGGATGCCAGCCCCTCAATCTTGGACTTCCCAGCCTCCAGAACTGTGAGCAAATAAATTCCTGTTCATCATTAATTACCCAGTCTGCAGTATCCTTTTATAACAGCAATAGATGGACTAAGATACTCGTGTTCACCAGTATGAGCCCAGGTTCTCACGTAGAAGGCATGGTTCCGAGCACTTTTAAACAAATAAGGTCAGGTTCATTCTAAAGTTGACAGCACTCATTGGTCTGTCTTCTCCTCTGGCATTCTGCCAACAGATCAACAGACACCCAAGCTATATTTGTGTCTCTCTTCCCTAAAAATGTTCTAGTTTTAGCCCAAGTAGATCCATGCCTGTACCACAGAGTCATTTGGAATACAATGACCCTTATGTCCCCTCAAATTGTGACTTCCTCTATATTTTATGTCATCTCATCCTGTTCTTGAGGAAGAATAAAGAATCTTGTAAAATGATAGTAACTAAAGCTCTTGATAGGTAACTTGAAATTCAAATTTTCTATCAGGATGATTTCTCTCCACATCTCTTCCCAGGATGAAAACTGAGCGCAGGGGAAGCTGTGGGGAGAATAGCCACTAGTTTTCTGCCCCCCACACAGTTTTCTCTGGCATTTCTGGGGTATTTCTCATCTTTCCTGGTCTCTGGATTCCAGGATGTTTCTGCTGATTTCTGAGACATGATGATCCCACCTCAGTTCCCTTGTTAGCATCTCCTTTGGGTTCCTTGTTAGCATCTGCAGCTTAGTCCAGACTCAGACATCCCTGACACAGTTCCTGGTGTCAAAACCTCATAATGTAATGCCTTCTGATCTTAATCCCAAGCTTCTTTAATGGGGTTCACTAGAAGAATGAGTTTCATTTAAAAAGTAAAGATTTTTCAAAAAATTATTTTTGGTTACATTATTTTACTTGATGTGTGTATTTGATTTATTTTATTTGATTCTGACCTGCCTGATATTGTCACTCCTTCCTATTTATTGTCTTCTCCTTTAAATATAGTATATTGTCTTCTCCTTTAAATATAGAGGTCATCTATAGTTTGACATTGGATACAGGAAGGATACCTGTTATAATGTTCCTGCCAACAGGGCAAAATTTAGGGAAATAAGACATTGTCAAAATTCTTTATAGATGCTGGATATTAGACCTTTGTTGGATGCATAGTTTGCAAAAATTTTCTCCCATTCTGTGGGTTGTCTGTTTACTTGGTGGATAGCTCTTTTTTCCTGTGCAGAAGTTCTTTAGTTTAATTAGATCCCATTTGTCAATGTTTGCTTTTGTTACAATTGCTTTTGACATCTTCACCATTGAATACTATACAGCCATAAACAAAAATGATATCATGTCCTTTGCAGGAACGTGGATGGAGCTGGAGGCCTCTATCTTTAGCAAACTAACACTGGAACAGAAAACCAAATATTGCACATTGTCATTGATAAATGGGAGCTAAATGATGGATGCATAGAGGGGAACTACACACACTGGGGTCCACTGGGGGATGAAGGCTGCGAGGACGGAGAAGATCAGGAAAAATAACTAATGGGTACTAGGCTTAATACCTGGGTGATGAAATAATCTGTACAACAAGCCCCCATGACACAAGTTTACCTAAGTAACATTACTGCATATGTGCCCCTGAACTTAAAAGTTAAAAAAAAAAAAGAAATTGACAGAATTGATCAATGAGAACTATTTTCTTCTGCAAAGGGAAGGAAGATGGCATCTGTAGTGACACTGCAGCCAATTGATGACTGCAGATGTTATCGT
Organism: Homo sapiens; assembly: GCF_000001405.40. Taxonomy (NCBI): domain Eukaryota; kingdom Metazoa; phylum Chordata; class Mammalia; order Primates; family Hominidae; genus Homo; species Homo sapiens. Next base: position 35,018,585 of record NC_000008.11, on the reverse strand, counting down.
AGTGAAGAAAGCCTGGGCCAGTATTTCTTTTGGAAGGTTCTTGGCTCATTTTCTATAACTTCGATTATTGCAAACAGCAGATATCAATGTAAGCATTTATTGTCATTAGCATTCTCTGTGCCTAGGATAGTGCCTGGCACAGAACAGTCACACAGTCATATTTGTTAAATAAAAGACAAATGAACAGATAGATGGTCATGCTGTTGCTACTGGGGGTGAAGATGCTAGAAAGAAGCTATGAGGTTAGCTTTTTAAAATGAAAGAAAAATAAAAGAGACAGAAAGGGAATGGAAGGTCAGAGCAGAGAATAAACATGAATGTGCCACAGAAGCTAAAGGAGAGGCTTTCTGGATTCCTCTATAACATTCATGGCTTTCTTGTTATTCTTAGACAGTTTGACTCTCTCTTTATAAAAAATACCTTATATATCTTCCTCTATTACCTATAATGTCTTGCTATCTTTATTTTGTTTCCCTTAACTTTTCTTTTGCATGCCTTCTTGCTTCTCTCTTTCAAAAACTCAAGAGCAATGAAAATCAAGTCAGCATATTAACAAGATCCAAAATTGCAGGATGCAGAGGCTGGAGAATCAATGATTGTCCTCGCCTATCCTTCCAGACCCTTGCAAACATCAAACACCTTGATTTGTCAATGAATTATGTTCTCTCAAACCCAAAGGGGCGTCCAAATCTATGTTAATCCTTGGTTATAAAATGCATCTTTTAAAGATCAGCAGAAAGCCCATTCGCTTCTTTTTATAGCAAGGTCTGGGAAAGCCTAGAAGAAGGGGGAATTCTCTAATGATAGCACAAGAAGCAATGATCCTCCTTTTTCTGGCCTTAGTATTTACAGAATACCATGGCCTGTGAGGCTGGGGCCACCCTTTGTGGGCAGAAAGGTGATTTTGTGGCTCACAGCACTCTGCAAACCTTCCCCCAAAGTTCACTGCTCAGAAAGCACCTGTACTAAATATTTTATGCCAAGGCCATGAAAATCCAGGGAATGCAGCTGTCCTCAAAATTTCTCATTTCTTTCCTGCAGTGGCAAGGTCACTAGGTGGCTGCACAAATGGCTGTGGGATAGATTGCATATGGCAGGGCAAGTAGAAAACAGGAGAGGTGTTATACTGAAATGGCACAGAGGCCCTTCTAGAGATTTCCTTCTTGCTAAGGCAATTCACAGAGGTCCTCCAGCACTGCTGAGTTCATGAGCTTCACTGCAAAAATTCTAAAAGGCTTCCTCTTCTCCATTCTGAGTTCTGCCTCCTATTTTATGAATTTTTACATGTGGTTTCTTCTTCTTTAGCTTCAGAAGGAATAGGCTCATATTTACCACTCTTTCTTCATAGTATATGATCTAACTCCACACTTGTCAGCTCTGTAAGCTTCTAAGCTCTAAAAACGTGTTTCCTCTTGAAGGTGCAAACTATTTCTGCCAAACTTATGAATAAAAGTCAAAGGGAGATAATATATGAAAAAGTGCTTTACAAATACACTCAATAGATAAATGTATGTGATAGGTATTGAGTTTCTATATCACATATTTTCTTTTCTTTTCTCCGAGAGTATTCTAGAGGCTGAAATTGGTGTTGCTTATGTCAACCCGAAGCTCAGCCCCACTGTTAGTATATAAAAATGGAACCCAGGGCTTCGATAAAAGATAACTCCCTGAGAGGCTTTCTAGATGTGAGGCTCAGGAAGGAAAGTTCTGCTTCAAAGGACAAGTTGCACTGGAGGAAGGGGAATGCCACAGGTACTTAAAGAGACCTAAGAAATGTGCTACAAGCAATTCTTGCTCCCAGTCAACTGCTGGAGGATTTTCCCATATTTTTAAGCCTATCTGTTTCTCTAATATTCAGGCATTTCATTTTTATTTTTATTTAAAAACGTTTCTCTCCTAATGCTTTTTACTTATTCAGTTTAACATTTTTCAACTTTACATTTAAAGTAACTTATTCTATTTTTAATCTTTAATCCATTTTTCTTTTACATATTTAAATTTTTGTCTTATAGGTTTTAGCCTTTTATCCTAATTTTTTTATTTTTTAATGTGTTTAAACTTTTATCTCATTGGCTTCTTGCTCTTTACCTTTTATTATAAATCTCATCTTTTTTATCTTTTTATTTTTAACTTTTAACCTTCTCTTAGAGTTTTAACTTTTCTTTCTTTCTTTCTTTTTTTTTTTTTTTTTGACAGAGTCTCGCTCAGTTGCCCAGGCTGGAGTGCAGTGGCGTGATCTAGGCTCACTGCAACCTCTGCCGCCCGAGTTCAAGTGATTCTCCTGCCTCAGCCTCCCAAGTAGCTGGGATTACAGGCGCCTGCCACGGCGCCCAGGTAATTTTTGTGTTTTTAGTAGAGATGGGTTTTCACCATCTTGGCCAGGCTGGTCTTGAACTCCTGACCTCGTGATCCACTCACCTTGGCCTTCCAAATGCTGGGATTATAGGCGTGAGCCACTGTACCCAGCCAACTTTTCTATTTTTAGCTTTTACAGGATACATTTTATTTTCTCTTCTACTTTACTCTCAGTATTTTTATTTTCCATTTAACTGTCTACCATAGAGTACTTTTAAAAAGTAAAATATAAAAGTCTTTCTCTTCTAATATTTATCCTTATTTTAAGAATTGTTTTTATAATGATTGGCAAGGAGGAGCCTGTATGTGAGTTGGCATACGTAAGAATCCGAACCATAAATCTCAGATGCTTTTTCCATATTCTAAGTTCCCTTAGGAAGCTGTAAATATAAATTCTATGTTTGAATGACATACCTGGACTGGAGAAATAATTTGGGGTTCAATAACCTGTTTATGGTATTTAAGCCAAGAGACCAAATGAGATCACTTAATACAAAGGTAAAGATGAAGAGAGATGCAATCTAAAATCTGAGCACTAGAGTATCCCCAGTATACGGGGTTGTGATGAACAGAAGGGCCTAGTAAATTAGATAGGGAGGAGGAACCAGTGAGGATTGGAGGAAAACCAAAAGAATAAGAATTGTAGTGGAGGGAAAAAATATTTTTCTCTATCTATCTTAGGTTCTTGGCTGGGACCCTGACAGTTAGACTGACAAAAGACAAATTAACAAGAGAAGAAAACACAGATTTTTATTAACATGGGCATCACTCATCTATATGGAAGCACTCTATGATGAGTAATTCAAAGAAGGGATTAGAACTTAAGCTTATACGACATCTTAGCAAAGTAATAATAATAATAATTTTATGCCAAAGTGATAAGTAAGAGGAAGAGGACTTTGAGCTTCTGGAGGTGGCAAATTGTGGAAAGACAAATATATGGTGAAATTATTGGTAAAGGAAGGCTAGTTGGTAAGGTATGTTATGTACTTTCTTCTGGAGTTGTCTTTGTTGATTAAGAATCCTTTCGGCCAGGCTCAGTGGCTCACGCCTGAAATCCCAACACTTTGGGAGGCCAAGGCGGGTGGATCACCTGAGGTCAGGAGCTCGAGACCAGCCTGACCAATATGGAGAAACACCATCACTACTAAAAATACAAAATTAGCCGGGTGTGGTGGTGAATGCCTGTAATCCCAGCTTCTCTGGAGGCTGAGGCAGGAGACTCACTTGAACCCAGGAACCCGGGAGGCAGAAGTTGCAACGAGCCAAGATCGCGCCATTGCACTCCAGCCTAGGCAACAAGAGCGAAACTCTCTCTAAAAAAGAAAAGAAAAAAACATCTTCCCATCATTCCTGGTAAAGATAGGGTGGGTAAAGAGTTTTTTGTCTTCTGCTTAATAATTATCTTCAGCTCAAAATAACCTATAGTCCAAAGTGGCATATTTTGGGGTGGCCTATTCTCCTACTGTTCATGTCCTGAGAGCCAAGTCAATAAATGGTTTCAAAGAACAAAGAGTGAACGGCTGTCCCAAAAGCTCCTAGTCATTTACATAAGCTGATGATTGAAAATTGACCTTTATTTTTTTCACGTCATGGAGGTTTTTGTTAGCCTTGGCAAGGCTGTTTTGGTGGAATGGTAGAAATAAAAGCCTAATTAGAGTTGGTTCAAGAGAAATTTGGAAGAGAATAGGAGAAAATGTAGAAATTTGCTTTAAAAAGAAAGAGATAAATTGGTTTGTTACTAGAAGTATTGAGTCAGGAAGGATTTTAAAAGAAGTTAGATATTTCATTATTTTTTTATGATAGAATTGATTCAGAAGAGAAGGAAAACTTGATATTTCAATAGAGAGAGGGGCAACAGTTGTTAGGAAGATTAAGTGGTTTTGAATTGGAATCTAATGTGTACAATAGAGGGGCTGACCTTAGGTAACACAGCTTAATCATAAGGCAGCAGGAAGCTATGGATGCAACAAGGCTGACAGCAAATACCAGTCCATTTTAGTGACGCATAGCCGTGACCATTGTGTAACCCTGCAGGTGCAATAGGGGTCAGCACATCTAAGCTGGGTTAGAGAAGCTGTGCAGCTCTTTTTCAAGCCCAGCAGCTGGGTCAGCTTGTCTCCAGGGATTAGGCTCAGGTCTAATCCACATGTCTCCTATTCTGAGGCCCAGGCTTGTGGAATGGCTAAAACACATGAAGGCCAGTGAAGGAACTTAAAGCCACTTGGGACCTTTCTGTTTCATTTTTTATTTTCGAGACAGTCTCACTCTGTCACGCAGGCTGGAGTACAGTTGTGCAATCACGGCTCACAGAAACCTCTACCTCTTAAGCTTAAGCAATCCTCCCACCTCAGCCTCTTGAGTAACTGGGACCACAGGTGCACACCACTATGCCTGGCTAATTTTTTTTGTATTTTTGTAGAGATGGGATTTTACCATGTTGCCCAAGCTGGTCTTAAACTCCTGGGCTGAAGCGATCCTCCCACCTTGGTCTCCCAAAGTGCTGAGACATGACCCACCATGCCCAGCCTCACTTGAGACCTAAACTTGGAACTGATATTGTCACTTTTGTTCCATTCTATTGGCAAAGCAAGTCACAGTGGCAAATCCAAAGTCAAAATGTGGGGAAATATGCTCCACCTCTTAATGAGCTGAACTGATGAGTATGTTTTAAATGCTTATAGAAAGAGGGAAGTTATAATTGGTCCTAGGAAAGGGGTGAATTGTTGGATTAGAAATATAGTGGAATGGCTGGGCAGAACAAAGAGTCTGTGAATTTGAAGTGAAACCAGTTGACATGGATGTGTGCTTCCTTCTATGTTCATTCAGCTGTGTGGCTGCTGCCACTGATTAAGGTTGGTGGTTGCATTTAATCACACTTACAGGTTGAGCACTTTGAATCCCAAAATTCAGCATCTGAAATACTCTCCTGTGTCTAACACTCTGGGAGGCTGAGGCAGGAGGATCACTTGACTCCAGGAGTTGGAGGCTTTATTGAGTTATGATCCTGCCACTGCACTCAAGCCTGGGTGATAGAGTGAGCAAGACTCTGTCACTATAAATAAATAAATACATAAATACATAAATAAATAAATAAAATAAAGTAAAATAAATCTCTTGGCCACCTGTGGTTATCTAGACCTTTAACTCTGCCTTGAAAAAGAATATGAGCAGACAGTTCACTAAGAAAAAAAATATCACGAGCCCATAAACAGAAAAAAAAAATGGTAACCTTTTTACTCAAATACATGCAAATTGAGAATACAAGGAGATAACAGCATTCAGCTGTCAAATTTGCAATCACAAAAATAATTATAACATTTAAAACTCGTGGAGTGGGGTCAGAAGAGCAATGTTATAACTGCTAGTATAAACTATTAAAACTTTTCCAGGAAATAATTTAGCAACATGCTTTAAAGACAAAGAATGCATTTTTTTCTTGACTTGGTAATATTACTTTTAGAAATCTAAGAAGAAATTTATCAGAAGGGCAGAAAGGTTTATATAGAGAAATGTTTAGTGCTACATAGTTTGTAATAGTAAAATTCAAATAAACTTACATATTAAAATATATATAATAATAAATAAAAAATATAAAAAGCTTTATGATCTATTCCTATGATGGGAAACTGAGACCATTGAAAATCATGCTTTCAAAGAGTTTTTAACGAATTAATAATATACTTATAAAATATTTTGTTAAAATTTGTTAATATAACAGAAAGCATATAAAACTCAAAATCGGTTCTCAAAATTGGTGTACCTCAGAATCACCTGGAGAATTTATCAAAATCACAAATGTCTTGGTCCCACCTCAGATCTATTGATTCAGAATCTCAAGTAACATAAAGCAGGAATATGGACAATTACAGTAAAAAAAAATTATATCAGTTTTCAAAGGAAGAGTTCCTACTTTTATAATTAGAAAAAAATGCAGTGAATATTATTAAAATAAAAATTTCCTTCTGATATTTGAGGACTTCTCCTCCTACTCATTAGCAGCTGACTACTGGTGCTCTAAAATCAGTTTTATCCTTGGAGTACATCAGTGAACAGGTGACTCACTCTAGACAGACAGAAAAGTTTAACAAGATTAGCGGGTAACAAAAATAAAACCAAATATATCAACACTGCAATGCACTAAGCATTCCTTTAGGATTTTTATTCTACTTAAATTCTATTATATATTTCAAAAACACAAAGCCTCAGGTTTAATAATGATATGTGGGAAAAGCTGATGAGCTTGGTTGGCCACACATCTGCAATGGAAGAGATGTAAAAGTACAGACCCCAGTGGGCACTGAGGAGCTGGCTTCATCTAGCTTCATAAAGCAGGTCAACTGCCCTGAACTTTGTAAAGCCAGAGACCCTTTCTGTCTAAGTGCTGACGATACTCATTGATTTGCATAATTGGAGGGAAATTTTACAAACTTATAAGATGGGGTTGATTTCCTGCCTTTAGACCTGTCCGAATAGCACTCTTCATGGTTGACTGACATTGTCTGTGCCAATTTATTTACCTTTATCAACTCCGTGTACATGATCTGCTTTGACAGACTCCATTGTGGAATTTATAAGTTTTTTAATAAAGAGAGCAATTCTTTATTTTCCCT